>NC_000005.10:85564352-85867382 GCF_000001405.40 Homo sapiens | reverse complement strand
CTTCAAAAATCCTGACAAACATCAGAATGAAGGTGCAGCACATTCAATCATCTTTTTTCTTCTGGTGGAACAACATTTTTTAGAGGTATAAGCTATTTTTATGAAACTTTAGTCTTCTTGTGAAATCAAGAAATACTCAATTCATGTCTTTCCTATGATTATTATTAATTTATTTTACTTTTTTAATCCTATCTTACATAGTTTAATAGACTCATGCTTTTGTATTTACCAATCTGTACACTTTTTCTAACATGAATTTTCTAGAGAACAAATCTGTTTTCCTTTCTATTAATAATTTAAATACATTTAAAAAATAACTTGAAAAGTTTCCTCATCCCCTCAGCTTGAAATGATACTATCTCAACAAGAAAAAGAAAAACATCAGAGCAGCATCAGATGACATAAATTGATGAAACATTCTCTCCTTTCTCAGAAACACCGTATGCCTGTTAGTAATTTATTTTCTCTCATCTCTAAACTTGCTCTTTTCTACAATCCTTTTTGATTTTGGGACTGGGACTGTGAAAAGCACATTTCTGCTGTTCCAGATGGCTCCCTGTTAGCCCATTTATCCTGCAGGTTGCAAATGTTTTTTGTGAAAAATCAGACCTTGGCGATGACCTTGAGCAGTAGTATATACATGACTCCCACAAGCTTAGTGTTCCAGTAATGGAACACCTGACATAAATGGGTTAAGGTCTGAAAATAGATGGCACCAGGAGACTATAAGCTTGGAGGAGGAGGAAGGGACTTCTTAATTCCTGGGGCATTCTTGTGGGCTTTTTGTCTGTTTCTCTACTTGTGAGTATCACCTTAACACACTTTTTCACTCTGGCAGTGAAAATTTCTTCCTGTAGCAACAGCTGAGTGCAGCTGGCAGTTTTTGCCAATATTAGAAACACTAATTTTATTCTGTATTCTTTCAGCAGCACCAGCTGGTGCCCAGTGCTGAGTTTTCAACATTCGTCATTATTAACTTTATCTTGAATGAACAGTTGAAGGTTCTGAATAAGAGACAAATTTTTATTAATTACCTATCTCAATCTGTATGAACTGCTATAACAAACTACCATAGACTGGGTGGCTTATAAGCAGGAGAAATGTATTTTTCACGTATCTGGAGGCCGAGAAGTCCTAAATCAAAACACCATCGGATTTGGTGTCTGATGAAGGCCTGCTTCCTAGTTCATAGATAGCCTTCCCCTGGCCGTGCCCTCATATGGTAGCAAGGTTGAGAGAGCACTCCAGAGTCTCTTTTCTAAGGGAACTAATGTCACTCATAAGGGCTCCAACCTCATGACCTACACACCTGCCAAAGTCCCCACCTCTTAATACCATCTCATTGATAATTAAGACTTCAATATATTATTTTGTGGAGAACAGAAATATTCAGTTTACAGCATTACTTTACAGAAAAGTATGTTGACCCCCCTTTGCCATAGACCTTACCAATGGGACAAATCAATGAAAGCCAGATGGAAAATAAAATATACCAGAGTAACCAGTCACTTCACAGGCAAGGAAGAGGGATAACATTTATATACAAGACAAAGTTGTCCCTAGTTCTTCCTGAAAAAAAAAAATGTTATTTTTATAAAAACATAAACAAATAATGGACACGTATACATTTATACATATTTTTATGCATGGATACATGCAAATACATAGAGAAAGAGAGAGAGCATTTGCTCCTTGGATATGAGTTGGAATAATCCTGGGTCCTGACTCTAACACCTTGCAATGTAGGCACATCTTTCTAAGGGTCAGATAATAAACCCTGGGGCTTCTGACTTTTATGACTTAGAGATGTCTTCAAAGTCTGGACTTTGTATTTCTGGAAATATAAATATACATGGACACAGCACTTTAATCTTTATGGGACTTTGTGAGTTAACCTAGGGTCTTAGTCTATACTGTAACTATTTGGTCCTCTCAGTTCAGAGCACTTGACTAGAAAAATGGCCAAAGATCAAATTCTCATATTATACCAAGAGAAAAATGCTTCGATAGTATGTCAAATCAGCATTAGCTTCTTATACGTTGCTTACATTTCTGTATCTCAGCGAGTGACCTAAGACCATTTAACAGCACTGAGAAATCTGGATAATTTTTTTTTCCTACTCCTGGGTCCATCATTCTTTCCTTGCTGTGTACATTTACCATTACTGAGCAGTAGTCCCATCCTTAAAGTAAGTGTTTTGTTTTGTTTTATCTAAGTCTCCTTCCCTAAACTCTTAATTTTTAAATTTTTAATATTTATGGATACATAGTGTATATATTTGTAGGATACAGGATGTAGTTTGATACAGGCATACAATGTGTAATAACTGCATCAGGGTAAATGGGGCATCCATCACCTCAACCTTTTATCCTCGCTTTGTGTTATAAACAATACAATTATACCCTTTTAGTTATGTTGAAATGTACACTAAATTATTGTTGACTGTAGTCACCCTGTTGTGCTATCAAATACTAGATCTTATTCATTCTAATTATAGTTTTGTACCCATTAACCATACCCACTTCTCTCCACCCTCCCTACCCTTACCAGCCTTTGGTAACCATCATTCTATTCTCTCTCCATGAGTTTGTTTGTTTTCAGTTTTAGCTTTCCCAAATAAGCTTTGCAATAAGTAATGCAAAGTTTGTCTTTCTGTGCCTGGCTTTTTTTTTGCTTAATATAATGATCTCCAGTTCCATCCATGTTATTGCAAATAACAAGATCTCATTCTTTTTTATGGCTGAATAGTACTCCATTGTATGCATGTACTACATTTTCTTTATCCATTCATCTGTTGATGGACACTTAGATTGCTTCCAAATTTTGGCTATTATAAATAATGCTGCAACAAACACAAGAGTGCAGTTACCTCTTCAATATCCCTATTTCCTTTATTATAGATATATACTTAGTAGTGGGCTTGCCGCATCATATAGAAGTACTATTTTTAGTGTTCTGAGGAACTTCTGTTCTGTTCTCCATAGTTTTTGTACTAAATTACATTCCCAGGGACAGCGTATGAGGGTTTCCTTTCTCCACACCTTCACGTATTCTCATTATTGCCTGTCTTTTGGATTTAAGCCATTTTTTGGCATCAGATGATATCTCATTGTAATTTTAATTTGCATTCCTCTGATGATCATTGATATTGAGTGCCTTATCATATACCTGTTTACCATTTCTGTTTCTTTTTTAGAGAAATGTCTATTCAGATCTTTTGTCCAATCTTAATTGGATTATTAGTTTTTTTTCCTATGAGTTATTTGAGCTCCATATATATTCTGGTTATTACTCTTTTGTCAGATGGATAGTTTGCAAATAATTTCTCCAATTCTGTGGATTGCCTCTTCACCTGTAAACGCCTAAATTTTAACAATTCCAAACATTTTCTTTTATTCCCCCAGTCCCAGGTTGCTGTTTCCTTTTCTTGCTATATACACTGGAGTTTTCTTTACCTTTACAGTTAAATGTTTACAAGGAAATCACAATCCCTTATATTAATGTGTATCTGTTCAAAAAACAGATGGTGATTTTCACCTGCCAAGGTCTTCACTATTGCACTTTCAATTCCTTCCTGAAAAAGAATTATAGGAATTAGAAATTTGGTATTTTATAATCATTAAAATGCTTGAATTTAAAATAAAGAATGCATTAATTAAAATTGTTAAGCAGAGGAATCTACTTTTCTAAAAATGTGAAATTTGACCTTAATATGTATGATTTTCATATAAATTATATACAATTTTTAATATTAATTTTCATATTGGGAATCTGCTGGTAACATATTATCTCGTTTTATTTGTCTGAAATGTTTCTATTTTCCTTTCATTTCTGAAGTAGATTAGATATTTTTCACTTTCTTGAATTCTAGGTTGACAAGTTTGGTGGGTTTTTTTTTTTTTGCAAAGTTATTTTTTTCTACTCATTACACTGTTTTTTGAGAAGTAAATGAATTCATATGGTTGTTGTAATGTGTCTTTTTTTCTTCCTCTAGCTTTGCTATGATATTCTCTTTATCTTTAATTTTCAGTAATTTGACTATGTGTCTAAGTGTATTTTGTCATTATATTTGTCCTGTTTGGGAGTTATAGAACTTTTGAATGTGTTGATAAGGGTTTTATTATTTTTGAAAAGCTTTTTGCCATTATCTTTTCAAATGTTTATTTTCCATTGTGTCTCTCCTTTCCTTCTGAGACTCTAACTACATATACTGTGGATTATTTGATATCATCCAACATGTCTCTCATATTCTTGTTCATTTCCAGTCTTTTATTTCTCCTCTGTTCATCAGTTTAAATGTTTCTATAGACCTTTCTATGTATCTTCCTTCTGATATATCTAGTCTGGTATTAAGTCCATGCATTGAAACCTTTATTCCAGATAGCATTTTCTATTTGGTTGGTTGGTTTTTAGAGATACTTTCTTTGTACTAAAATTCTCAACCTTTTCATCTTTTCCTTTAGGCTTGTTAAAATATTAATTATAATTGTTTTAAACCCCCTGCATGATATTTCAAATGGCTAGCTAATCTGCTTCAAAATTACTAATGACTTTATTAAATATTACATTTTCCTGTAGGTCACCTAATTTGTAATTGTTTACCAGATGCTGTGTTTTAAAACACTATCCAAATTGAAGTAAATGTTATTTATACCCCAAAATGCTCATGCTTATTCTGTCAGGCAGCTATGGTAAGAGACTGATTACATTGATTCAATGAAGACTTGAGATGACCAAGGCTTTGTTATGAAATGAAGGTAGTTCACAACGCAGATGTTTATTTCTTTCCAGGCTTGTATGAATACAGATCTATAATCTTCCCTTGTATAATCGGCTGGAGAAAAATCTTTGCTTTTAACAGGCTTATGTGATTAGGCCAGGCCCACCTGATCATCTGAAGTTCAATTGATTTGAGACCTTGATTCATCTGCAAAGTATCTTCACAGCAGTATGCATAATTGAGTACAAAGGATAAAGTTTATACAGTTGACCCTTGCACAATGTGGGGCTTAGGAGCACTAACCCCACCCAGTCAAAAACCCAGGTATAACTGTTGATTCCCCTAAAACTGAACTACTAATAGCCTATTGTTGACTGAAAGCCTTACTGATAACATAAACGTTAGTTAACACATATTTTATATGTAATACACATTATATACTGTATTACTGAAGTAAGCTAGAGAATATAAAATGGTATCAAGAAAATTATAAGAAAGAAAAAATATATATACTATTTATTAAGTGAGAGTGGATCATCATAAAAGTCTTCATACTCATTGTCTTCATGCTGAATAGACTGAGGAGGAGGAGCAGAAAAGGGGGTTGTTCTTACTGTCTCAGAAGTGGCAGAGGTAAAAGAATATCCATGTATAAGTGTACCAGTGCAGTACAAACCTGTGTTGTTCATGGGCCAAGTGCCTTGTTATCATCTAGCTCTTTCTTATTCATTTATCAATAAAAACATTAACAATTAGATGTCTGAAAATGCTGATATATCCAATTTGTCTAAAGCTTGATATTCCTGATTCGATGGAGAGCCAAATTTAATCTTTTTCACAAATATGTTTATAATTGCTTGTACACAATATTACGTGCCCAAACCTGACAGAAAGGATTGCTTTAAATTATCAATTACTGGGTGCAAAACACCATGAATATAGATAATCTGACAAATAGTGATGTCATGTACAAAATGAATCAGTTTAAGAAATTTTACTTAGGTTAGCGAGGGGATATTTCTGTATACACAGATACTGAGGAGAGTGGGAAAATGAAATGTACTTTGAATGATTTAGACAATGTGTACCACCTTTAAGAGGAAATTTAGAGACAAGGTTTGCTATAGGATATACATATATATAATATGTATGCCTAGGTATGTGTGCATGTATATATATGTGTTATAATTGTGCATATGGAGACATATGCCTATGTTTAATATTAAACTTGCTCTCGAATTCACCTTTTCTCTATATTTTTTGTACTTGTTTGCATATTTATTTGCAATTAATTCCATTTTAATTAGGTTGGTGATGTTTAGAAGTCACTGAAAATCATTTTGGAACATGGATAAAATAACATAAGTAATACGTTGATTAATTCTAATCTTTACTAAAACGCTAGTAGGTATTATTACTATTTCTATTTTACAGATGAAAAACAATAGAACCAATAAATAAATATTATAATTATTATGTACATGTGGACACATTTATACAACTTTTCCCTGAATGACTTTTGGGTAAACTATGGAATTAAGGCAGAAATAAAAAAAAATTCTTGGAAATAAATGAAAACAGAGATACAACATGCCGAAATCTCTGGGATGCAGCAAAAGCAGTGTTAAGAGGAAAGTTTATAGCACTAAATGCCTACCTCAATAAGTTCAGGAAATCTCAAATTAATGATACAACATCACATCTAGAGGAACTAGAAAAACAAGGACAGGCCAGGCGCGGTGGCTGATGCCTGTAATCCCAGCACTTTGGGAGGCCGAGGCGGGTGGATCACGAGGTCAGGAGACGGAGACCATCTTGGCCAACATGGTGAAACCCTGTCTCTACTAAAATACAAAAAAATTAGCCACACGTGGTGGCACGTGACTGTAATCCCAGCTACTTGTGGGGCTGAGGCAGAGGAATCACTTGATCCTAGGAGGCAGAGGTTGCAGTGAGCCGAGATTGTGCCACTGCACTCCAGCCTGGCGACAGAGCAAGACTCCATCTCAAAAAAAAAAAAAAAAAAAAAAAAAAAATAGAAAAACAATGACAAATTTCAAAGCTAGGAGAAGAAAATAAATAACTAAAATTAAGGTAGAACTGAATAAATTGAGACCCAAAAATTCATTCAAAGAATCAACAAAACCAAAAATTGGTTTCAAAAGAAGAAAACTCTTATGCATGGCTGGCAGGAATGTAAATTAGATCAGCCACTGTGGAAAGCAATTTGAAGATTTCCCAGAGAACTTAAACTAGAACTACCTTTCAACCCATCAATCCCATTACTAGTTGTGCCTCCAAAAGAAAAGAAATTCTTCTACCAAAAAGATACATGTACTCACATGTCCATCACAGTACTATTCACAATAGCAAAGACATGGAACAAACCTACGTGCCTATCCATGGTGGACTGGATCAAGAAAATATGGTGCATATACACCATGGAATACTATGCATCCATAAAAAAAATCATTTCCTTTGCAGCAACATGGATGCAGCTGGGGGCCATTATCTTAAGCAAATTAACACAGGAATAGAAAACTAAATACCACATGTTCTCACTTATAATTGGGACCTAAACATTGCGTACTCACAGAAAGAAAGATGGCAGTAATAGAAATGAGGAACTACTAGAGGTGAAAAGGAGAGAGGCGGACAAGGGTTGAAATACTAACTATTGGGTACTTTGCTCAGTACCTGGGTGATGGAATCATTCATACCCAAAACCTCAGCATCACACAATATACCCAGTAACAAACCTGCACATGTGATCCTTGAATCTAAAAAAAAAAAATATGAAACCAATAAATATATATTATAATTACTATTACATATTTATGGACACATTTAAATATATGAACCTACGTACACACATGCATATGCACCTACATGATATAGATTCCACACATCTATTTATTTAGGTGTACAAATGTGCATCTGAGTCATCCTGAAGTTCAGCGTAAGGGTTTATTTCTCTATTAATGGAGATTTCTATACCGGCATACCACATTTTACTGGACTTTGCTTTATTGTGCTGCTTCAGAGATTTTGTGTTTGTTAGAAACCGAAAGTTTGTGGAAATCCTGCATCAAGCAATTATATTAGTGCAATTTTTCCAAAAGCATGAGCTCATTTATTGTCTCTGTATCACATTTTGGTAGTTCTAGAAATATTTTAAATTTATTATTATTATAATATCTGTTATGGTTATTTGTGATCAGTGATCTTTGATGCTACTATTGTGTTCGATGCCACTAACTACACCCAAATAAAATAGCAAACTTAATTGATAAATGCTGTGTGTTTCCTGGCTGCTCCACAGACCAACCATTCCCCCATTTTTCTCCCTCTCCTCAGGCCTCTCTATTCCCTGAGACACATCATTATTGAACTTAGGCCAATTACATCATGAAATATATAACATTTATAATCAGAGGAAAATTTACTGTAATTAATTGTATGGGTTTGATTTGGTATGCTGAAAATTATCTCCTGTTTTATAACCTGACTATAATTGGAGTATGTGGTTAAAAAGCTAACTAAGCTGTTAAACTCATGCTGAAGGACTGCATCTCTCAGATGCTGGTGGAGAATAATGCAGACTGCAGGACTGGCATTACCTCATGTGAAAGTTAAATGTTTTGAAACTTTTGTGATAAAAATTTGTCTCCATTCTCCATGTGGGATAAAATGTTGTATTACCAAAAAAAAAAAGTCAATAGCCTAAAATTTATAAAGCTTTTGTGAATAGCTACAGTTTGGAAAGTTATAAGAAAGTAAATGTGACGGTTTTAATTCAGAATTATCTTAGGAAAAAAATTAGGCCTATTAACAACCCTGCAATGGCATCTAAGCGTTCAAATGAAAGGAGTTACATGTACCACACTTTAAATCAAAAGCTAGAAATGATTAACCTTAGTGAAGCAGACATGTTGCAAGCCAAAATAGTGTAAAACTTAGAATCTTTCGGCATTTAGCCAAGTGGTGAATGCAAAGAAAACGTTCTTGAAGGAAATGAAAAGTTCTACTTCAGTCAACACACAGATGATAAGAAAGCTAAAGACCCTGGCTTCATAGCTTCAAAATACAGGCTGACTCTCTTCTTAGGAAGTAATGCTGTTGGTGACTTCAAGTTAAAACCAATACTCATTAACAGTTCAAAAATCCTAGGGCCCTTAATAATTATGCTGAATGTACTCTGCCTATGCTCTGTAAGTCAAATAACAAAGCCTGGATGACCACACATCTATTTATAGAATTTATGAAAAAATTTTTTGAAACTTTTATTTTAGATTCAAGGGTACATGTGAAGCCTTCTTACATAGGTGAATTCATGTCACAGGGGTTTGCTGTAAGGATTATTTCTTCACCCAGGTATTAAGCCCACTACCCAATAGTCATCTTTTCTGCTCCTCTCCCTCCTCCCACCCTCTACCCTCAGGTAGACCCCAGTGTCTGCTGTTTCCTTCTTTGTATTCATGGGTGTAATTTTTAGCTCCCACTTATAAGAGAGAATATGTGGTGTTTGGTTTTCTGTTCCTGCATTAGTTTGCTAAGGATAATAGTCTCCAGCTTCATCCATGTTTCCACAAAAATACTATGGCTGCATAGTATTCCATGGTGTAAATATACCACATTTTATTTATCCAATCTGTCACTGATGGATGTTTATGTTAATTCCATGTCTTTGCTATTGTGAATTGTGCTGCAATGAACATTTGCATGCATGTGTCTTTATCATAGAATGATTTTTATTCCTCTGGGTACACACCCGGTAACGGGATTGCTGAGTCAAATGGTAGTTCTGTTTTTAGCCCTTTGGGGAATTGCCATACTGCTTTCCACACTGGTTGAACTAATTTACAGTAGTTGAATAATACCACAGTGTGTAAGTGTTCCCTTTTCTCCACAATCTCGCCAGCATCTGTTATTTTTTGACTTTCTAATGATAGCCATTCTGGGTGGTTTGAGATGGTATCTCATCGTGGTTTTCATCTGCATTCCTCTAATGGTCAGTGATGCTTAGCTTTTTTTCATATGCTTCTCATAAGCATGTATGTCTTCTTTTGAAAAGTGTTTGTTCAGCTCCTTATTAATGAGGTTGTTAGTTTTTTTCTCCTACATTTGTCTAAATTCCTTATAGATGCTGGATATTAGTCCTTCGTCAGATGAATAGTTTGCAAATATTTTCTCCCATTCTGTAGATTGTTTGTTTACTCTGTCGATAGTTTGTCTTGCGGATTCATAGAAGGAGGTAAAAATATCAACATTAACAGTAGTTTGGAAGAAAGTAGATTCAACTGTCATGGATGAATTTCAGGAGTTCATGATTCCAGCAGAGAAAGTAACTGCAGATGTTGCAGAAATAGCAAAAGAAATATAATTAAAAGTGGAGACTGAAGATGTGACTGAATTGCTGCAATCTCATAATAAAACTTTAACTAATAAAGACTTTCTTCTTATGGGTGGGCAAATAATGTAGTTTTTGAGATGGAAACTACTCCTGGTAAAGATGTGAACGTTGTTTAAATAGTAACAAAAGACTTAAATATTACACAAATTATTTGATAAAGCAGCAGCAGAGTTTGCAAGTGTTGACTCCAATTTTAAATGTTCCATTTGGGGTAAAATACTATCAAATGGCATTGCACGTTACAGAGAAATGTTTTGTAAAAATAAAAGTCAATCAATGCATTAAGTTCTGTTGTCTTATTTTAAGAAACAAGCAGAACCACCTCAAACTTGAACAACTAATCTGTCAACAGCCATCAGCTGTTATATATATTATATATAATATATATAATTATATATATAATATATAATATATATAATTATATAATTATATATATTATATATTTATTTATAATCTATATATTATATATATTATTATATATTATATTATATATTATAATGTATATTATATATATAATATATATTATTATATATATAATATATATTATTGTATATTATATTATATATTATAATATATGTTATTGTATATTATATTATATATTATAATATATGTTATTATATATTATAATATATATTATTATATATTATATGTTATTATATATTATAATATATATTATTATATATTATATGTTATTATATATTATAATATATATTATTATATATTATATGTTATATATTATAATATATATTATTATATGTTATTATATATTATAATATATATTATAATATATGTTATTATATATTATAATATATAATTATATGTTATTATATATTATAATATATATTATAATATATGTTATTATATATTATAATATATATTATAATATATTATAATATATATTATTATATATTATATTATATAATATTATATCATATTATATATTATAATATATTATATTATATTATATATATTATATATTATTATATATTATATTATATATATTATTATATATTATATATACTATCTCTATTGAAAGCATTTTTACTGCTTTTCTTTTTCATTATATTACAAATCATTTTAATTTTTAAAGGTACTAAAGTAATAATGAAGAATATGACTTACCTTAAATTATCTTCCATTATATAACAGGGAAATTCATAATATAAACACTTTTTTCATTGTCAATCTGCTGCTGAAGAACTGAGAAGGAAAGGTTAATGTAAGTTAATCAGTTTATCCTGTTTTGATTTTGGCTCTGTTTCTAAAGGTATGATTATAAAAAGCAAAATAATCAGAGATGTTTCTTCTGAGTTCAGAGCAACACACAATGCTAAACTGCTATAACAGAATTTGAAAAATTCCCAAGTGCCAACATCCAGACTCTTGTCCATTGCTGATGTTACGAAAGAACCATAATAATCATTCTGATTGAATCTGCATGAGTCTCCAAACACTTCTTGATGTAGGATTATAGGCAACCACTACTAATTATTTTGCATTTTCATTAAAATGAATCCTGGTGTTTCTAAACCAGTCTGAAATTAGGAGTCCTATTCTCTGATATGTCCATATAACAAACAAATGATTTCAACATCAGAACTTAAATGTGCCTTACGCTGATAAGTTGGATTAACCCCATTTTCTGTTCGGGTGCCCCACTTGTATTTTAAGAACCCTCCTGTGAATAATCATTACTAAAGTGAGCAAACCAGTATATCAAGGGAGAACTGTTTTCATCATTGGTAGAAGTAAAAATGGTATGAGTCAAACAAACACCTGAGCAACATTAATGAAAATAATAGCTAATGCTTATTTGTAATTTGCTATGTGCTATGTACTATTCTACGTGCTTTCCTTGCATTAAGTCATCTGTTTATCATGTCAATGTTATAAGGTCAGTATCCTCATCATCTTCACTTCATGAATAAATAAACAGAGGCACAGACTTGCCCAAACTTGGCACTAAGGTATTTAACCCATAGTGTGCCAAGTAGAGTGCCAGATTTTAAACCTAGGAATTATAACAGTATGGCATATCAATTATCACTTGATATATCAAGGATCATGTCTTTGAGATTACTATTAAAAATATACGGCCCAAGAAGATCAGCTAAAGGAAAGCACTAAAGAAACTGCAATCCACCATATGTGAAGGTTAAACCCACCTTGAAAACAAGTTTAAGGGACACTTAATACAGTCTCATGACAACACTTTCCAACTCTATATTACAGCATTTGTATTTTAAAAAGAAAAATGGAAAAATCAAAGGAAAATCTAAAAATTCTGAATGCCTGTAAGGCATACACATTTACTGGAATTTGAAGAGAGATATGGTCCCAAATTAATGCCCATTGATAATATTTTATATGAGAATACTATTAACATGAAGAGGGGCAAGATAGAGGGTAGTTCCTAATGGAAAAAAAGAACAACTTACTGCCTCAAGCAGGTTAAGGAGTAATACTTAAAGCAAGAAAGGCATAAAATGAAAATCTGTAGCATAGGTTTTTTGGACCTCCGTCTTTGCTTACTCCCACCAAAATACTAAATATTTCATCTAGCAAAGTAAATAGTGAGATTAAAGCATATCAAATTTCCTCTTTTTAAGCCTGATCAAGTGAAACATGAAACTACATAATTTCAAAGAGTTTCTCTCTCTTTCTCTCTCTCGATATCTAGAGATGTCTTATATGTTGTGTATTTATATTTTATATATATAGATAAACATTGTATGTTTGTAAAAATGTAAAACAATACCAGTATTCCCTCTAAATATTTTTGCATTGGAAGATACATTTTTCTTAGAATATTTATATTAACATATGATAGATATTTTCTTTTTTTAAACTAAACTAATGCACATTTTATTTTTCCATTTTATTTTTAACATTGTAAATATTTGTAGTTAAATCTCACATAAAATAATTTGAGATCATCAACTAAGTTTAAGATTGTAAGGAGCTCTTGGGTTTAAAAAGTTTAAGATTCACTGATTGGAGTTTGCATTGTGTATTTTCTCTCTCCATTTTACTTTCAACATTTCTTTATACTGATAGTTTATATTTCATAAGCAGCATATGGTTGTCATTTTTTGTACACCACTCTTATGTATTTTTAATGGGGACATTTAGTACATTTACATTTATCCTGCTTACTCATCTTCTTCCATTTAAATGTCTGTTATGTCATATGATTCATTTTACATCTTAAGATAACTTAATGTTTTTCTCTTTTTATTGTATAGTTTTTCCTTATGATTTCCAGTCAAAAAATTATTTCTCTTCATACTCGGTTATATTGTTAAATGTCAGATATTGTAGATTAAACTGAGTCTTTATGATAGTGTCATCCTCCAAAGAGGTTTTACTTTGATTTGGTCAGCCAGCTGGGTTAGGATAGAGGATCTTATTTTAATCAGAGATTGAACTAATATTGAACTGGGACCATGAGAGCTGGCCAATTCTGGAATTGCAATTACTTTTAAGGTGTGGACATTTGAGGTCCTGACTGAAAGTTTGTGTCATTTCCCAGTCTTTCTACATTACAGGACTCTAAAATCTAATCTATGTTTCTCTTACCCATGGGTAACTTGCTACAAGATCATTTCAGCTTCTCAGCTTTCTGACTAGTACTTTCTAATCTGAAAACCCCATGAGGAGAGAAGTGGCAACAAATATACCTTTCTTTGCTTCCCTTTTTTCTGGGGTCTTGACCCTGAAAATTCTTACTGATAGCTCCCTCCTTCTTCTTCGTAATTGTCTAATCTTTTCAATTCCTCTCAATAGGAAGATTGTTAAGGATCCAGCTTATTCAACATTTCTGGAAACAGAATTTCATATGAATGTATCATAATTTCTAGTATGGAAGGTTGCAGTACCTTAAGCTAGTATTTATCTTTTTCTGCAGTTATTTGTTGATGTTTTTGTTGTTGTTTTTACTGTTGCTTACTAATACTGCCTTGGTTTCTTTATTTCATTGTGGACATTGCTTCTGAAACATGATTATTTTTTCCTTCTGATACGACTTGTATATTTTTTCTATATATCATCGTCTTAAAGTTTAAATAAATAATGTGTATATTCAATGTGATTACAATGAAATATGTTTTCCATTGTAAACATTTTAGATATTTCTGAGGGTATTATAACACTCAGACTAGTAATCATGGACCAAGTGGCAAGACTGGGAAAGTGAAAAAAAAACCTTAGGGATTTGGGCAAGTAACACACTGTTAATATAAGCCATGTTGGCCAAATGTCCAGTCTTTTCCTGGGAAATGCTGCTTACGACACAATAAATGATAATCATTTAGCCCAGGCATGAGCCACAGGCTGGTTTTTACGGTAAGAGACTTTAAATAAGATTTTAATACCTTTGTCTTATTTCTCTATCTGTCAAGTTTTTTATTGCTTTTATAACTTTTGGGGAGTTTTCAGAAATCTGATGGTCAAATAAGCAGCAGAACAAAAATAAAGTGTGTTGAGGCATGAGAGAAAAGGAAATTATATTTTGATGTTTATCTACAAAGCAATAAAAAATGAAAAAAGGGAAATAAAAAAAGCAAAAATAACATGCTAGGATTTTATCTTGTAGACTAATCAGTTTTCATTGCAGTGTAGAATTATGCACATATTTCCTATTAACAAAATATTTGTTTTGTTAGTTTTGAGAAATAGACACATCATTGTTATCAATAAAAATGAAAAAACACAGCTTTTGAGAAATCAAATATCAACTTATTAATGCAAATATCATACCAGTAGAAAACATCACAATTTATGCAAAAAATGAAATAAAATGAAACAGAAAGGGCAAATGGGAAATAACCAGGACTTCTGTTCAGGCAGCAGTCATAATTTCAATATGACAAATATTTCTAAAAAGATAAGTGCTTCTGGTATATCTTCAGATTTTACCAGAGCTCCTATGTACACAAACATATCTATTTTTTATTACAAATTTTGTGTTGTTGGCAACATAAAATAGTCTAATATAAAATATATTTTACAGATACTAAATATCTTGCATATTAAAGTCAACTTTGATAAGCTGGGTGTGGATATTAATAGATTGTTTTAAGTAATATCTAAAAACAAGATTAAAATATTTTATTTGGAATCTTTTATTAAATATTTCTGTATAGTAATTGACAACACAAAAGTTGAAGAATGAGTCCAGTAAAATGTGCTAAAATTGTAAATGAAAAAATGAAAGGACATAAAGCTTGTTAACTGTGGTAAATTAAATTATCTGGCTCAATTACATATCTATCATTTTATTCATATCATTTGTCATATGATTTTGCAATTTCTACTACCAAAATTGGATTTGGATCTAGCAATGTGACTTTCTTTGGCTAATGGCATATGGGCTAAACTAAAAGTGTGCCAGAACCATTCCCAGGTATCTAAGGGCATTGCATGTTCTTTCTTTCTTTAACCTCTGGCCTCACCATAAGGCAAGTTTTCCCCATGTAGCTGCCACTTCTTTAGCCTAGGTCCCAATTTAGTACACAGGGAGCAGACCAGAGACAAAGCTGCAACAATAAGCCTAGCCCAGCTACATCTGCTGTTTAAAGAGGAAATGCCTAGCTAAACTTAGGCTATATGAGCTGATCCCCAACTAATATGGTTGGGATTTGTGTCCCCACCCAAATCTCATGTCAAATTTTAATCCCTTGTTGGAAGAGGGGCCTAGAGGGAGGTGATTAGCTTAGAGGTGTGGATTTTCCTTTTGCTGTTCTTGTGGTAGTGAGTGAGTCATCATGAGATCTGGTTGTTTTAAAGTGTGTAGCACCTCCTCCTCCTCCTCCTTCTCTCTCTTTTTCCTGCTCCAGCCCTGTGGAAGGACATGACTCCTTTCTCTTAATCTTCCCCCATGATTGCAAGTTTCCTGATACCTCCCAGCCATACTTCCTGTACAGCCTATGGAACCATGAGCCAATTAAACCTCTTTTCTTTATAAATTACCCAATCTCAGGTAGTTCTTTATAGCAATGCAAGAATGAACATATACAGAGAATTGATACTGGGAAGTGGGGTATTGCTATAAAGGTACCTGAAAATGTGCAAACAACTTTGGAGTTGGGTAATGGTCAGAGTTTGGGACACTTTGGAGGGCTCAGAAGAAGAAAAGAAGATGAGGAAATGTTTGAAGCTTCCTAGAGATTTATTAAAGTGTTGTGACCAAAATGCTGATGGTGATATTGACAATGTAGTCCAGGCCGAGGAGGTCTCAGATGGAGATGAAGAACTGGAGAAAAGGTCATTTTTGTTATACTTTAGCAAAAAAGTTGGAGGAATTGTTCCCCTGCTCTAGAGATCTGTGGAATTTAAAATTTGAGAGTGATGATTTAGGGTATCTGGTGAAAGAAATTTCTCAGCAGCAAAGTATTCCAGATGTGGCCTGGCTGCTTCCAAGAGCATATGATCATATGTGTGATGGAAAGGATCATCTGAAACTGGAACTTATATTTAAAAGAGAAACAGAGAATAAAAGTTGAAAAAATGTGAAGCCTGATCATGTGGTAGAAAACAAAATCCAATTTTTGGGGGAGAAATTCAAGTCAGCTGCAGAAATTTGCACAAAAGGAATCAAATATTAATAGCCAAGACAATGGGAAAAATGCTTCCAAGGCATTTGAGAGACCACTGTGGCAGCCCTTCCTATCACAGGCCAAGAGGACTAGGAGGGAAGAATGGTTTTCCTGGGCCCTGCCCAGGGACCCCCTGCCCTGCATAACCACAGGATGCTGCTCCCTGCATTCCAGCTGCCCCAGCTTTGGCCTTGGTTAAGAGATACCCAGATACATCTCAAGCTTCTGCTCCAGAGAATGCAAGCCAAAGGTTTTGGCAGCTTCCACATTGTGTTAATCCTGCAGGTGCACAGACGGTAAGAGCTGAAGCTTGGGAGCCTCTGCCTAGATTTCAGAGGATGTATGGAAAGCCTGGATGTCCAGAAAACAGCTTACTGTGGGGGCATAGCCCTCATGGAGAACCTCTACTAAGGCGGTGCTGAGGGGAATATGAGGTTGGAGGCTTCATATTTGGAGTCCCCAGTGGGGACTGAGGCACTGCCCAGTGGAGCTGTGAGAAGAGGGCCACTGTCCTCCAGAACCCAGAATTGTAGATCCACCAAAAGCTTGCACTGCACACCTAGAAAAGCTGCAGGCACTCAATGCCAGCCCATGAAAGCAGCTGAGGGAGCTGCACCCTGCAGAGCCCCAAGGGCAGAGATAACCAAGGCCTTTAGAGCCCACTCCTTCCATCAGTGTGGCCTGGATGTGAGACATGGAGTCAAAGGAGATTATTTTTGAGCTTTAAAATTTAAAGACTGTCCTGCTGAGTTTGATATTTGCATGGGGCCTGTAGCCTCTTTGTTTTGACTGATTTCTTCCCCTTGGAATAGGTGTATTTACCGAATGCCTGTACTGCCATTGTATATTGGAAGTAACTAATTTGCTCTTGATTTTACAGGCTCGTAGGTGAAGAGACTTGCGTAGTCTCAGATGAGACTTTGGACTACAGACTTTTGAGCTCACGCTGAAATGAGCTAAGAATTCAGAGACTGTTGAAAAGGGAGGATTGTATTTTGCAATGTGAGAAGGACATGAGATTTGGGAGGGGTCAGGGGTGGAATGAGGTGGTTTGAATCTGTTTTCCTGCACAAATCTCACGTCAAATTGTAACCCCTAATCTTGGTGGAGGAGCCTGGTGGGAGGTGATTGGATCATGGGGGCAGATTTCCACCTTACTGTCCTTGTGATATTGAGTAAGTTCTCAAGAGATCAGGTGGTTTAAAAGTGTGTAGCACCTTTCCTTTCATTCTCTCTGCCTTCTCCTCTGGCCACATAAGACATGGTTCCTCCCTCTTTACCTTCTGCCAAGATTGTAAGTTTTCTGTGGCCTCCCCAGCCATGCTTTCTATACAGCTGGTAGAACTGTGAGCCAATTAAACATCTTTTCTTTGACTTAATCTCAGGCAATTTTTTATAGCAGAGAGAAAAGACTATTAAGCCAAGCTCAGAGCTATGAGAAAAAAGTGCTTATTGTTGAATGGCACTGAGATTTTTGTTTGTTTGCTTCACAGTAATAGCTGACCAATACAATTTTGAAATAGGTGTAAAGGGAAACATCTAGAGTGCAACAATTGCATCTGAAATCTTTACCTCAAGGATTACATTGTTTTTCTGTAGGAAATTATTTATTTACACACACCTGCAAATGTGTATAAATAAATAGAGTTTAAAGGCCTTATTATGCTTAAAAATGATAAAAAGGCTTGTTATGCCTAAGGATTATAGAAGTCATGATAATCATTTTACTGTGCTGTATACTTTAATCTTACTACTGTGATAATAATAAACCCATGTATATAATTATATAATATTGTGATTTGTCTTATTTGGTGTAGTAAGTGCAAATAGATAATTTTAAAAAATTGCCACCTTATATATGTGTGTTATTCATTGAGAGTTTTTTGATATTATTATTGAAAAAGTATGTTTTTAAGCATTTCAGAACTGACATAAATTATGAAAATACAGAAACCAAAATAAAATATCTGAATAATACTATATTCTGGTGCATAGGAAATCATGGATCATATGACATTAATTAACAAATACTCCCCACGTGTAAAAATCAATTGTTTAAATAATTTTAAATGATTTTTAAAATTCGCAACAGCTGATTCACAGAAAACGAAAAAAAAAGTCATTTCCGTTTTCTGCTCAAATTTGTTTTCTAAAACTAATGATTTTTTTTAAAAAAGTTTAGTTATTAGGAAAACTTTCTAATTTAAAAAACAAATATTTAACCTCTTTAAAAAATACATCTTGGCAGGGCGCGGTGGCTCATGCCTGTAATCCCAGCACTTTGGGAGGCTGAGGCAAGCGAATCATGAGCTCAAGAGATGGAGACCATCCTGGCCAACATGTTGAAACCCAGTCTCTACTAAAAATACAAAAATTAACTGGGCAGGAGGTGGAGGTTGCAGTGGGCCAAGATTGTGCCACTCCACTCCAGCCTGGTGACAGTGAGACTCCATCTCAAAAAAAAAAAAAATACATACTGTTAAGATATTGCACTAATTGTTTATCACAACCTCCAGAAACATTTTTAGATTTCTTTTTTATAAATTTCTGCCACATTTTAAATATCTACAGTCCTACAATGGTTAAATATTTTATATTTAACAGGGATTTCTTTAAAATAACATTTGAAGGAAGAATTAATATCTAAAGAGCATCTACGAATACACAAGAAAGTCAAAGGGTCAAAAGGACAGTGAAAAAGATGAGTAACGCAAAATCGATTGCAAGAATCTAAGCACATAATTAATTAACTATAAATTAAGAAAGGCAATTGCAACGTAACCATAACCTAACTTCAGAAAAACAAAGAAATTCATTCACTTGAAAATGGATAAAACTGGCTGGGCTCATTGGCTCATGCCTGTAATCCCAGCACTTTGGGAGTCTGAGGCGGGCAGATTACCTGAGGTCAGGAGTTCAAGACGAACCTGGCCAACATGGTGAAACCTCCTCTCTACAAAAAAAATACAAAAATTAGCCGGGTGTGGTGGTGGGTGCCTGTAATCCCATCTACTTAGGAGGCCGAGGCAGGGAGAATGGCTTGAACCCGGGAGGTTGAGGTTGCAGTGAGCCAAGATCGTGCCGTTGCAATCCAGCCTGGGTGACAGAGTGAGACTCCATCTCAGAAAAAAAAAAAAAAAAAAAAAAAAAAGCATAAAACTATGGTCTATCGTTTGAATTAAAAGTCTATGACATAATAAAACAATGCTATTTCAATTTTAGACATTTCTGAGGCGTGTACTTTCCAATTCCTTCTAATACATGGTGAATTTCTTTATCAATTTAGTTTCAGCAACAGACAGAAAAACAGCCAGATGTGATACATTAATACAAAGGATTTTCAACACAAACTAAGATGATGTAGATTTATAGAGATTAAGATAGAGACAGAGACAGAGACAGAAACAGGCAGAGAGACAGACATGTACACACACATGCACACACACACATGCACACACACACATGCACACACACACACAGAATATTGGGAGCTCCTACTTTGTTCTAGTTGGCTACAATGTTTGAAAGCCTAATTCACAAGAGGTTTTGTGATAGTAGTTACAGTATCAAGTTGAATTATTGGGTAAAAAGGTGGATTTACCTGCCTACCTACCTACTTTAATCTAACAAGAGAATAATGTACAAGTCATGAGCACAAACTGGTAAAACTTCAGTGTATTCATTTATTAGAATAAAACAAAATGGTGGAAGCAGAAGCTCCAAGCTCCTGTCCCTCCACAGAAACACCATAAAGCAAGCCAATTCTGTCAGAAGCAACTTTGTCAGAAATCTGGCAAAGAAAGGTTGATAGCAACAAAGCAAATGCTAAGTCAAGGAAAAAAATATATTAAAATAATAGAAAATCTTTGGGTTATTTTTCCTTACGCTTCTTCCACTAATTTTCCAACTTGGTGAGAGTATTGAAGACAGCAGTCCAATTTACCATTTTGCTACCTTGGTCCCTGGTCCTGGAGAGAGAAGACTAGGCCCTATTCATCTTATTTACAAAGTATTATGAATGCTTGTACTAACTGGCCTTGAAGGCCACCTGAAGGGCTAAGGCAAGGCAACTATCTCAATTGCTCCTATCACAGAACTCACTAAAGGCAGAAAATCAGTGGGTATTGTTTGAAAATATTGCATGGCAAATAGAAAAAAAAAATCCAGAGCTGCACAGGCAAAAGATTATGATAGATTATGGTTGAGTAAAAACATAGGATGCCTAGACAGCAGGAGAAAAAGATTGGGAGATAATTTGCTTGGGAAATTAATGTTTTAAAAGGCACCCATATATACCGGAGAATTTTTAAAGCCATGTACATACGCAAGGCAAGTGGCATGTTCAAGAAAGACCTGAGACGACCCTAAGCTTTCCCCTCTGACTAATAGTCTGAGTGAATATTGAAGGAGTGACTGAGACTAAGCTAACAGCCAATCTGCAAAGACTTATAGAGATTTTCTTCACTTTTTGTAGTTGCTGTTGTTTGTTTTGTTTTTTAATCTTTAGTTCTTGGCATTGAAAGAAATTATTTCAAAACACCAGCTGAACGTAAGATAAAGAAACAAAAATATCAGTGACCATACATAAAAAGAACAGTAGACAAATGACTACATCTTCTAAGATACAAAATCAGCAAACTCTGCAGAACGAGTAGAATTGTATTTCCAAAGATACCACAGTATCTTTGTCCAGTTTCAACAAAAAAGTCATGAGGCATACCAAAAGTAGGAAAGTATAGCCTGTTCACAGAAACAAATAAATTGAAAGAAAGAGAATATCCCTGAGGATGGCCAGATACTGGAATTACTAAAAAATGCTTTAAAGCAAATATTTTCAATGTGCTTAAAGAGCAAAAAAATTAACAGAAATAGCTAAAAAATAATAAAATGTATAAAAAAATATAATATTAAGAAGAGCTGGAAATATTCAAAACTAAATGAATTTTGAAGCTAAAAAGTAAAAAGACTAAAATTTAAAACCCACTAAATTAAAAAGCAGATTTGAGCAGACAGAAGAAATAATTAGTAAACTTGAAGACAATTAAAATTACCCAGTCTGAATAGCGGAAAGAAAAAGGAATGACAAAGGTGAAAAAACCTATGTGACATGTGGAATATCATTATGCAAAACAATGCACATTTTGGGAGTCTCTGACAAAGAAGAAAGAATAAGGGAAAGGAAAAATATGTGAAGAAATAATAGCTTTACATTTCTCCAATTTAATGAACGACATTAATCTACATATTGAAGAAGCTCAAGGAACTCTATGCTCAAAGAACTCCAAGGGTAAACTCAAAGGCATCAACACTGAGACACATCATAAACAAAGTATCAGAAGCAAAAGACAAAGAGAGAATCTTGAAATAAAGCAACAGAGAAATGGCTTCTCATGTGGAAGTAATATTCAATAAGATTAACAGCCAATTTTTCATCAGAATCCATGAAGAACATAAGGCAGTGGGATAACATATTTAAAGTGATAAAATAATGAAAAACTCAACCAATAATTCTATATCCAGTAAAACTGCCCTTCATATTTGAGGGGAGATTTAAGACATTCCCATATAACAAAAGCTGAGGGAGTTAATACCCACTAGAACTAACTTACAAGGAATAATCAATAGAATTATTACGTTAAGATGAAAGGATACTAGACAATAACATAAAGCTGTATTAAGAAATAAATCTGCTAACAGTAATTACATAGACAGATAAGTCATTATTTTCGTGTTGTGGATTTGCAACTCCACTTACATGATATCAAAGACAAATGCATAAAATAATAATTATAAATATGTTATTAATCATTCCATGTGAAAATATGTAATTTGTGACAACCACTGTGTAATGGTGTGGGGCCAGTGAAGTTTTATTAGAGCTGAGACTGTGCGTACTATTGAAGTATATTGGTAAGAATTAAAACTAAACTGTTATATATTCAATAATTAAATGCACTTCCCATGGTAATCACAAAGAACATCTGTACAAAGTATACACATAAGGAAAAGAGGACAAAATCAAAATGGGCTATCATAAAAAATCACTGATCATAAAAGAAGTCAGTAATGGATGAATGAGGGATAAAAACATTTAAGATATACAGAAAATAAATAGCAAAATGGCAGAAGTACATTCTTCCTTATCAGTAATTACTTCAAATGGAAATGGATTAAACATTCCAATAAAAAAAACAAGAGATTAACAGAACGAATTTTAAAAATCACGCTCTCACTATATGCTTACTATAGTCTGAATGTGGGTGCTTCCTCCCCAAATTCATATATTGGTACCTAGTCCAGGTTGAGTATCCCTAATATGAAAACCTGAAATCTGAAAAGCTCCAAAATCTGAAACTTTTTTTCCCAAAACCACCCATGGCCTCGTGCCTCCTCCAGTCCTGTGCCTATCAAAATCCCGGGCTCAGCCGGCAGAGAGGAGAAGTGGCTGGATGTCCTGACTACGTCTGGACATTGGAGAGAGGCGCTTGATCTCAGAGAGACATCTTGACAGCATAACTTCGGAGAAGAATTCAGCCTGAGATGGCCAGACTTCAAGGGAAGATTACCTTCCCACCCCATCCCCTTTGCAGATCCCCTTCCTGCTGAGAGCCACTTTCACTGGCAATAAAATCCCCTGCATTTGCCACCCTTCAATTCATTCATAGGACCTCATTTCTCCTGGATACCAGACAAGAGCTCAGGAGCCACAAGTGCGGATACAAAATGCTGTCACACTTGCCCTTTGCCCTCGCCGGTAGAAGGCAGCTGCCTCATGTGAAAAGGCACTGTTAAGCCGTCCGCAGATGGCAGAGCTGAAAGGGCACTATAATATGCCCTCTGGGGCGTCAGGGGTTGCCAGAAGCTGCTGTGGGGCCTGCATGGAGTTCGCTCCTGCCAGCACCCAAAAGCCCTCCCCCTGGCTCCTGTACTCTCTCACTTGGGTGCTCCCTCCCCTGAGAGGTGGAGCGCAGTGGGTCCGACTGAGTGGAGTTCTCCAGTGCCAGCACTGAAGTGGCCAGCAGGTTCCAGCGCTTGTGCACTCCTCTTCCCACCTTGTTCGCTTGTGCGCTCCCTCCCACAAGAGGATGAGAGCTGCAGGCTAAGTCAATGAAGCACCCCCTCACTGATTTCTCTGAGTTCCAGGAAGAGGTCAAAAAAATATTCTGCTTCATTGATATGCAGAATAAGTAAAGCACTCCTTCAACTCAACAACAACAAAAACAAAGAAACAGACAAAATTAAAAATGGGCAAAGGGCTTGAATAGACATTTCTTGAAAGAAGATACACAACTGGCCAATAAACACATAAAAAATTCTCAAAATCATTACTCATTAAGAAACTGTAAATGAAAAACATAGTGCAATGTGGCTTCACACCAACTAGGATGGCTGTAACTTTTTAAAATGAAAAAATACAAATGTTGGTGGAAAAATTAGAACCCTCCTACACTGCTAGTAGGAATGTAAATTGTCTCAGACTCTGGAAAATAGTTTGGCAATTCTTCACAAAATTGACTCTTATATAACTCAACACTTGTACTCCAAGTTATACACCCAATTACTTGAAAACAGGAACTCAAACAGATACTTGCACCTAAATATTCATAACAGCATTATTCAAAACAATCAACTGATGAATGGATAAACAAAACATAATATATGTATTCAATGGCATATATTCAGCCAATTAGAAAATGAAGTTCTGGCACAAGCTACAGTATGGATGAGCCTTGGAAAAGTAATGCTAAGTAAAATAAGCCAGACAAAGAAGAAAACATATTGTATTATTCCATTTATATGAAATAACTATAATAGATAATTTTCATAGAAAAAAATATGTAGATTTGATTTTACCAGGACTGGGGGAAGTGGCAATGGTAAGATATGTTTAATTGCTACATAGTTAATGGTTAGGGTCTTGAAAAACTGTGGAATTAAATAGCAGTGATTAGCGTACAACATTGTGAACTAGTTAGTGTCACTGGATTGTACACTTAAAATGGTTAACATGATAAATTTAATGTTATTTATATTTTATTACAATAAAAAGAGATTATAATAAACTTTATCTGCACTAAAGAAACAAACAAGCAAATAAACAAAAACAACCAGCAGACTTTTTTCTTTATTGAGTTGTGGATGAATGGAGAGCAAAAATTTACTCTGAGAATAGGTAACCTCAAATCAGCTCTCTCATGAGTTTGCAACATGGTATTTCAATATGTATCTGATCACAATAAAAGAGAATCTAATGTGGAAAATTTAAACAATAAGTGATTATAAGATCTTCTTTGGAAGAACTTGATTTCAACTAATGTCTCAATGATGTTTATCAATAAAGTTCCAAAGTTTTCTTTCAAAAATTACAAACTTACAAGTAAAGAAGGCACCAGATGAGAGAGTGAATAAAAATAATAGAAAGCAATACAAAATATTTTGTCTATACATATTCAGCTACTGGAAGCATCAGAAAGAGTATACATGGAACTATTATAAAATAGTTTAAAATAAATATGTTTGATGTGTTTCAAGGAATAAGATAGTTTTGAAACTATGAGCTAAAATAAGTTAAAAATAAATAAAATTTTTAAAAATAATGGGAAGAAAAATGTTTATTTGGTGTTTATGGGGTTCAGGAGCATGTCACCCCAAAATATACCTCTTTGGCATATTGATTATTTTGAGTTAAAGGCACTTGAAAAACAGCAGATACAAGAAGTGAACTCTGACCTTCGTTTCTTTCAAAGCAGGAGATAAAGCTCCCATGTAAAAGGAGCCCTTATTGGAGGAAGGAAGACATTCTTATCACCACAGGCCAGGAGTAGATGCCAGGAGAAATCTGTACAAATAAACCTTTTTAAACTAACCCTTATCTTTCTAGTCACTTTCCACATTTAACTGTCCTAGCCGAAACCTCTTTGTCTTATCATGTTTTTCACAATTCACTACTCTTTGTCCAAACTAGTATATAAGCTTTCAGCCCTGACTGCTTTTTGGGGTATCCAATTTTCTTGTGTGGGCTCCCATGTATGTATAAAAATAACTAAATAAAGCATATATACTTTTCACCTGTTAATCTGTTTTATGTCAGTTTAATTCCTAGTCCCAGCAGGAGTGCCTAGGAAGTTAAAGGAGAATTTTACCTGTCTTACAGTATATCAATTGAGAATTTATGCCCAACTAAAGGAAGGATTACTGAAATTTAAGACCAAATAATTCACATACTGAGGTCAAACATAATTAGATAAGTAATTTTTGAATAAAAGAATAAGAAACATGAAGAGTTCGAGAATGTCTCCCACATATCGAACCAGAGGTTCAGAACAAGATAACTGTATGATGGAAGATATTTGAAAACATAATGCCGAAAATGTTCCCCTAATTATGAAAGCCAACTAAAGTTCATTCCAGAATCTCAGTAATTAAAAGCAAAATAAATTTAAATTGAGAGAGAGTAGCACTTCTTGTCACCCAGGCTGGAGTGCAGTGACACAATCTCTGCCACTGTAATCTCACTGTAACCTCCGCCTTGCCACTTCAAGGGATTCTCCTGCCTCAGCCTCCGGAGTAGTTAGGATTACAGGTCCCTGCCACCAGGCCCTGCTAATTTTTGTATTTTTAGTAGTAATGGAGTTTCACCATGTTGGCCAGGCTGGTCTCAAACTCCTAACCTTAGGTGATCCACCCGCCTCAGCCTCCAAAAGTGCTGGGATTACAGGCGTGAGCCACTGTGCCCAGCCTTAATTTTCTATTTCTTAAGTTGCATACTGTGTGCAAGTTTTTTTCTGATGTGTTATTTATTTAATATTTACTTTATTTAATATTTATAATAACATATTTACTTCAAAAATGCACAACTAAAAAAAAACTCTCAGGAAAAAATCCAGAACTTATACAATAATATTTATAGTTTTCATAAAACAATTTGCATAAATCCCATGCTTCCATTAATAAGCCAAATATGTGCCAATGCATGCAGAAAACAAAAATTGTCAGATAATTGAGACCTCAGAAATTAATTTATCTGTATTTTATTCTTAAGTGACTTAATAAATTAGTAAAATTCAAATGTTTAGGTTGGAGAAGTCAAGAAAAATTTTAAAAACGTCTGACAGTATTAAAAAGTTAAGCATGATATTTAAATAACTATTTTCAATATATATGCCCACATAATTTTTAGGAAAAGTTATATGATATAAACATAAGTTATTTTGTTTAATATCGTCTTAACAACCAATCTGTCTACTGGGGACCTGAAATTAGGAACTGAAAATAATCAGTCCTTGAAAAAAAAAAGAAATCCTCAATTAGAGAAGGAAGTGTTCCTAATTTTGACTATCTGTTAAAACAGTAATGCATATTAGTGTTTTGAGATTTGTATTTACATCTTACCAGTTAAATAAACATGTAAAATTGATGTTCTCTTGTCTATTACATTTACATTTTATGTTACATTACCTTTACATTTACAGATTGTTATGATGATCAAGATGACTTTAAAAAAAAAAGCTTTGAACTCTGAAGTTCACATTATTGTGCCATTCAGAACTAAGAAATTAAAATTTTGTAATAAGTAATAGCTAAAATTAGAAGGCTACATTATTTAGAAGTATATAGTCTTACATATTAGCGTCAAAATAATTTCATAAATTAGCTAACCAACCCCTTAGTTTATGCTAGGTAAAATGAGGGCCCAAAAGGTTGTGACTTGCCAAGGTCACATAGCTGAAAATCTAGTAAATTAGAGTGACAATAGAAACCTAAATTTCTGTTGTTACTTTCATTGACTAATTCACAAGAAAGATTCGAGAATTAAAATCTCATTAGCAGAGTTATATTATGTAGCCTTGTTATATGCAATTACCAAGTCGATTTGTTGCTGTAGCTTGAGTCCTAAGTATTGTATTTTTTACATACCATTGACGATTTATACACAGGAGTAACTTAGAATTCATTTATGTTTACCATTAATAGCATTCAGAAGAAAGCAGTTTTTCTTCAATAAACATGCTTTCTTTAAACATAGAAAATATTTATAGTAAAACCAGGAAATCTCATCACAGTTCTTCATTTAATGTTTGAAAGAAAAAATTCTGTTGACAGTATTAATTAAATTATTCTGTACAGTGTATTGCCCAATATTCAGTATTGTAGTAAGACAAACAAAAATTGGGAAGAAACTGCAAACTTATAGATAGACACCAAGAGGAAATTATAGTATATGCCAAAAATTATATGTAACTGAAAACATACACATATTTATATGGTGAAGAAATTACATTATTTTACAGTATTGTAAATCTTTGGTCTAGTATTAGTTTTCAATGTCTAATAGTGATGTCTTAGAATTAATACATATAAAGCACTTAGAACAGTGCCTGGCATAGACAGTTTTCAATTAATGCTGTTACTATGAGTAGTACAATTATTTTTATTACTATTGCTGTTATTAAAATTCTATGGAGTCATATGGATGATATCAAGAAGGTGGTTGAATAACAAGAATGAGCAAAGGAATTCAAACTAAGATGCCAGTGGTGGTGTGTTTTGGAAGAAGAAATGAAGATAAAAAAGGCGCATTTGGTCCCCTGGTGAGAAACCCAGCCAACTGCTGTCCCAGATGCAAAAGTTCTATACGGGTGCCTCATATCCTCTTCCAGAAGTAATAGGGAGGCAGGTGGAGGAGTGGGAAGCTCAAGCAACTCACTGCTTCTACACTCGTGTTACAACTCTACTTTCACCTCTTTCGTATAATGAGATATTTTGAAACACTGTCATTTAAAAAAATTATTTTGACTTGCAAAATAATTATGTAATAACTCATGTTTTCGGATTCCCTGTGTGGGTAGAAATTACAATGTGTTCTGTACAAAGACATATGTTAATTCTTAACTTTTTGTATAATGTACTTTGCCTATTGTCTTGCTTCTGTATTAGTTTACTAAGACTGCCATAACAAAGCATCAAAAACCGATGGCTTAAACAACAGGAATTCATTGTTTCATAGTTCTAGAGGCCAGAAGTCCCAGATCAAAGTTTCTGCAGTTTGTTTCTTCTGAGAGTGTGAGGAAAAACCTGCTGTGTGCCTCTTCCTCGGGCTCCTGGTGGTTTGCTGGTATTGACATTTCTTTGTTTGTAAAAGCATCATTTCATTTCTGTCTTCATTTTCACATTCTGTCTCCTCATAGATGTGTGTATATTTCTGTCCTTTTTTTTTTTTTTTTTTGAGATGGAGTCTCACTCTGTCGCCCAGGCTGGAGTGCAGTGTCGTGATCTCGGCGCAGTGCAACCTCCGCCTCCCGTATTCAAGCGATTCTTCTCCTTCAGCCTCCTGAGTAGCTGGGATTACAGGCGTTTGCCACCACGCCTGGCTAATTTTTGTATTTTTTAGTAGAGACGGGGTTTCACCATGTTGGTCAAGCTGGTCTCGAACTCCTGACTTAGTGATCAACCCACCTTGGCCTCCCAAAGTGCTGGGATTACAGGTGTGAGCCACTGAGCCCGGCATCTTTTGTTATAAGGACCCCAGAATAACATAAACTAACCCCAGAATAACATAAGTTAACAGTAATACAGAAGTAGGGGCCAGTATCCTCATCTTAACTAATTACATCTGTAATATCCATTATGTCTAAGTAAGGTTACATTTTATGGCACTGGGAATGAGGACTTCAAGTTATGAATTTGGTTGGGGGGGGGGCACAATTCAACCAGTAACACTCCCCAGTGTTTCAAGGATGCTCTTCCTTAACTCTTTCGATTTACCCATTGTCTCTCCATTTCCTGAAATATGCATACTTGAGAAAAAACAGGCCCAGGTTCAGTGGGCCCACATCCAATCAGGTTCATCAGGCGTTAAAATTGCCCTTGAGGGTTATTAGTTTAAATGTCCTATTTCACAGATAAATATTCTAAAAGCCAAGAAAGTTGTGACCTACTAGGGTGCAAAGGTTTTAAATACAACAGTATAGAAATTCTTAAACACATGCTCTGATTCCAGATTCCCTCTTCAAATCTTATTAAACCAATGTTTTCTAAATTTATCTGACCATTAACATTAATCCCTACTTCTTTTCTCTCCACACCTGTTATAATGAAGAGAAAAACAACAACAATAACAAAAAAAATCACACGCTTGCATTCCCAAAGTTATATAATAGTGGAACTATGTTTCATAAGGCAACATGGTTATCTGTATTCAAATATATTTGAGAAATACATATAGATATTTATCCCTTTTGCAAATGTACAAAATATCATAAAATATCAGAGTCTGAAATGTTCAAACTGTGTTACCTTGTTTAGACCAATTTTCCTAGATTTATCTAGTTATTGATTTCCTTTTAAAGGCCACTCACATTAACATTCTGAGGGACAGGCCTTGAGAATGTCTGCCTAAGTACATTTTCCTAATTGAAGCTACTTATAGAACTTCTACAAAAGCCAATCTTCACTGTACTAAATCATTGTCACATGCAATAGAGTAGACTAACAAATCCGGATGAAAATATCATTAATTTGTCATCTTATTCAATTTTAACTATCACTGCAAACAATTCTTGAAGACATGGCCCATGTACATATGTGTAAATATGGTTACTTATTCTGTCTATATTGAAATTACTCTTTACATTCCCCAAATTTTACATCTCAAAATGTCAAATTACCTGCGTGTTAAAAATGCATTTAACAATAGGTTAATTGATGGGCTGCTGTTCTCTGAAGCACAGATTTAAAAACTGAATCTTGCAGTGTTCCACAGGATAGATCATTTGAGACTAAACTTGGACATTCTGAAGTGCTTGGAATAACTTTGTCTTTTAGAGGAAAGGGTGACAAATTCATTAACATTCACAGGTGTTTTATCAAATATTACCTTTTTCTTGAAGGTCTCTTATAAGCAGCTTACATTATGTTGACTTTTCTCTATGTTTTAAAAATGTATATTCTAAATACCACAAACCAGCAAAAACTCACATTAGGTACATAATAGACGTTCTCTTTGTTAACATTTACTACTTTAAGAATATTTATTGCATGGTTTTAAAAGGAAGTGTTTAATATGAAATGTGTCATTTAAGACCCACATTCCTCCTATTTTCAACTTAATTTCCTTGTTAAGAATCACTGAAGCAAAGACATGGAGAGGAAGATTGACATTGATAGCTTCCTTTAATAAAAGTTAGGGATGAAAAACTATCCTGACTTTGCCATTCTATGCCACAGTCTATTTTCTAAGGAGGAGATAGAATAAAAATGAGGACAGAGAGAGTTTGAGTTTTGAGACAATAAATTTGTCATATATAGAAGACAATGATATATGAGAAAAGTGAAGCTTGAATTAAAAAAAAGTTGGTTAGATATGTAACTTAATGTTATTTGGGTAGACTACTGTAAAAGGAGAGGTATGGAAATTTAGAGAATGGATTCAAGGGTGGTGTTGGGAACTGAGCCCACACAGTCGCACCTGCTTGCCTCTGAATCTTTTGCCTTCCTGTATATTAATAACTCCTCTTTCCTGCCTCAAGAGAGCAAGAATCAGAGGATACAGACAAGTGGTCTCCGAACTAAACCTAGTATATCTCTTAGCACATCTCCTCTTTCTGACTAAAATCCCTCCAGTGGAACTTGAATTATAGTGCATTTAACACAGGACTTAACTAGTGTTTCCACCGTAGTCCCCCTTTATCCAGGGGGATATGTTCCCAAATCCCCAGTGAATATCTGAAACCCTGGATAGTACAGAACCTTTCGTATGCTGTTTTTTCATATACATACATATCTATAATAAAGCTTGATTTATAAATTAGTCACAGTAAGAGCTTAACAATAACTGATAATAAAATAGAACAATAACAATACTGTAATAAAATTTATGTAAATGTTTACATCCAAAATTTTCCATTTAATATTTTTGAAACATGATTGCCCACAGAAAACTAACTGAAACCACAGAAAGTAAAACTGTACATAGGGAGAACTACTTGTATTTGTTCCTTCCAAATTTCAAGTCAAAATTTGATCCCCAATGTTGAAGATAGGGCCTAGTGGGAGGTATTTGGGTTATGGGAGCAGATCCCTCACAAATGGCTTGGTGCCATCCCCACAACAAAGAGCGGGTTATTGCTCTATTGGTTACAGTGAGATTCAATATTTGAAAAGGGCCTGGCACCTTCCTCCCCTTCTCTTTCTTCCTGCCTCTCTCACTATGTGGCTCGCCTGTACCCCTTTCACCTTCTTCCATGATTGAAAACTTCCTGAGGTCCTTACCAGATGAAGATGCTGACACCATGCTTCTTATACAGCCTGCAGAACCATGCATCAAATAAACCTCTTTTTTAAATATAAATTATCCAGCCTCACATATTCCTTTATAACAGTGTAAAATGAATGGAGACACTACTGTACCTATTTTTTTTTTTTTTTTGAGACGTAGTCTCACTCTGTCACCCAGGCTGGAGTGCAATGGCATGGTCTCAGCTCACTGAAACCTCTGCCTCCTGGGTTCAAGTGATTCTCCCGCCTCAGTCTCCCAAGTAGCTGGGACTACAGGTGTATGCCACCACACCTGATTTTTTTATTTTTAGTAGAGATGGGGTTTCACTATGTTGGCCAGGCTGGTTTCGAACTCCTGGCCTCGTGATCCGCCCACCTCAGCCTCTTACCTAAATATTTATGTTATATACTTGATGTATTTTAAACATACTTGATGTATGTTGTACACTTGATGTATTTTAAAATACCAATCAAAAATACGTATTAAATATTTACTACATGCCTCCTATTACAATGAAACACTATTTCTCCTATTATGAAAGTACAATCACTCTACAGTTGGAAGTGCTACCATTGCACCGTGAGATCTTGGAGGAAATCACTCTAAAGGTGCCCTGTCTCCTATCCTTGGCACCTAAATCTAATGATTCTCTGCCTTCCACAGCTTCCCCTACACCTCATCTCCAAGGCATTGATCTCACCATCATTGCACTGACCTTTATTTTCATCTGTCTTCACTTCCCTCCTTAAACTTCATTAGTATTATACTATTTTTTATACATTTCAAGCAAAATCACAACTGAATAAATTCATCTTAGGACTGATTCACCAAATTTAGTGTTGCTGAAGGGAGGGAAAATTAACTTTTTGCCATCTGGTATTATTGACTTTAAGTGGGTCCTTAGTGACGTCCAGCAGTTCTGCTATGCTTCCCTCTTTATCCACCACTATCTACCCAACTCTCAGAGGTGACTATTTTGTAACTTTTTGTGTCCTTTCCATGCTTCCTATTTCACTGAGAAATAATTATGCAACAGTGAATATATGTCCCTACCACCACATCCTCCCACCTACCTGCATCTATACTTCTAAGGATGAACACTTCCCTCTTCCTGCCAGGCAAAGAAAATTTCTCCAGTTATGCCTTCTTAGACCTCATGCACTATTATATGTGCAAGGTTGTTGTTTCAGCAATTGTTCTTACATTTGCTAACATTATCTGTTATGTTCCCTTTTTTTCTTTATTTTTTCCTGCTCCCTCTCCTGAGGCATAATTTTCCCTTTTTATTGAATCATTCTCACTAGCATGTAAAAATTGTCTAATAACTCCCATTTCAAAGAAATAAAGTTATCCCTCTGTATAGTCTCCTCCAGCTAAATTCAAATTAATCTGCCTCTTTTACACTAATTTTCCTGTATTCTCTTCTATCAGTTCCTCTCTGTACAATTTGTCTTGAACCCACTTCAGAAAGTAGCTTTATCACTTCGCCAAACGCACCCTCGGCAAAGTCAACAGTGATCTGCACGTTGATAAATCCTGTAGTTAATCGTTATTCAAATTAGACTTCTGTCCTCCTTTGAAACTTTTCTTTTTCCATATTTTGTTACTCCTTTGAGTACATGTATCCTCTTGCCTGTCTTCTTATAACTTCAATAGTTTCTCTGATAGATATTTCAACTCCTAAAGCTTTAAATATTAAAGTGATCTATTTCTATTATAATTGTCTGTTCATATCATCTGTGATCCCAGAATAACATAAGCTAATAAAGGGTAGAAATTATTTTTTTCACCTTTTTATCCACAGGCCCTTGAACTGTTGAACAGGTAAATTATCTCTTTTAAGGCTCTTCTTATGAAGATAAAGCAGCCTTCAGAAAAAGTGAGTTATTCTTTCCTCTAATTGCTACCTTGTAGTCCCAAACAAATTGTCTGACATAAGCATCAAGTAGCTTCTTCCGATTTTCCATAAGAGAGAATTCATTTTAATGTAATTGATTATAATGGCATAAAACAATGAATTATTTTAGTTGTTAGTCCTGTAGTATATACTGTCACAGAATTTAGATAATTCTTAAACAAAAATATAGAATATAACTTATTCATCCAAATTTATGTGTCTCTTACCCGAGGGTCACTATTTTGAGAATCTTGCCTTTGAACAGAGGACAAAAATACCCTGCTACTCGTAAACTACATAATCGCTGGAAGTAAATCATGCTGGCTTATTGGTAATATAACGTTGGCACTTTGTTAAATGTACTTCACTAAATAATAGGACTTTGTTCAGGGCAGGTATCCCTCTTGTTCTCAGGCATTCTCCACACTCCATAAAATAAAATTATTTTATGACTCCGATATTCCTTAAGCAAAAATATCATAAATATCAATATTGTTTGACCTCAACTGTCAGAATTAAGTTACAGTATTCAAAAATCTGAGTAACTACTATATCATTCATGGGGAAAAATGAAGAACATCATTTGAGTAGAATATATGTGTGTGTGTGTATATATATGTATAGAATATATCAGATATATATATATATATATATATATATGCACCGAAAGTAATATATATATTTATACCTCCAAAAAGAAAAAAAAGCAAGAAGGAATTTCTGTATGAGCATTGGAATGAATAATCCCCTACCAAAATGAAGAAGAGAGTAGAGAAACACTTGAAAAAGCTAAAATAGAACTCGATTTACCTATTTAATCTCCTTATATTAGCAATGTACAATTATTTTCTTTTTTCAGGTCAATTTAATATAAAGTGCTTCAGTGTAGTACTTAACACATCCATGTAGGAATTTACCAGATTCAGGAAAAAATTGTTTAGTGCAACCCACACAATGCTTTTATAAGACATAAATACCAGCTTTGACTTAAATAATTATTTTATATTATCTGAAAATGGAGAAAGATAGTGTTCGGAATCATGTGGATACTGTTGCACATTATTTTGCTGAGGCTTTTTAAAATGATCTTGATACTTTTGAAAAGCACTGCATAAGTGTTTTCTAAAATGTCATTTAATTTGGGTTTGTGTGATATTTTCTCATAATTATACAAGGATTATGGATTTTGGAGGAAGAATACCACTAAGGTGAAATACAATTCTTAATCTATTTATCAAAGAATACATGATATCAGCACTACTCATTACTGGTGATGTTAACTTTGATCATTGGGATAAGGTAGTGAAACTGTCAAGTTACCCATTGTAAAGATTATTAAAGGCAAAGAGAGCAAAATAATTCAAAAGCCTCAAAACAAGATGTGACGTGTGCAAGAAACTTCAAGGAGGCCAGTGTTGCTGCAAAAAAGTGAGAGAAAGAATTACAGGTTGATTTTCTTTTCTTTTTTTTAACTTTTATTTTAGGTTCAGGGGTACAGGTACAGGTTTGTTATATAGGTAAATTGCATGTCACAGGGGTTTGGTATATAGATTATTTTGTCACCCAGTCAATAAGCGTAATACCTGATCGGTAATTTTTTGGTCCTCATCCACCTCCCACCTTCCACCCTCAAGCAGGCCCCCATGTCAGTTCCCTTCTTTGTGTTCATATGTACTCAACGTTTGGGCTTCACTTTATAAATAAGAACATGGAGTATTTGGTTTTCCATTCCTGTGTCAGTTTGCTTAGGATAATGGCTTCCAGCACCATTCATGTTGCTGCAAAGGACATGATCTTCTTCTTTTTATGGTTGCATATTTCATGGTGTAAAGTTGGCAAAGGACGTAAAGCGACACTTTTCTTTCTTGTTTTTGTTTGTTTGTTTGTTTGAGACAGAGTTTCCCTCTATTGCCCAGGATGGAGTTCAGTGGCACAATCTCGGCTCACTGCAACTTCCACATTGGGTTCAAGCAATTCTCCTGTCTCAGCCTCCCGAATAGCTGGGACTACAGGTGTGCACTACCATGCCCAGCTAGATTTTTTGTATTTTTTGTAGAGATGGGGTTTCACCATATTGGTCAGTCTGGTCTCAAACTCCTGACCTTGTGATCTGCTCACTCTGGTCTCCCAAAGCACTGGGATTACAGGCGTGAGCCACCACACCTGGCAAACAGACACTTTTCAAAAGAAGACATACATGTACCTAACAAGCATATGAAAAATGTTCAACATCACTAATCATGAGAGAAGTGCAAATCAAAACCACAGTGAGATGCCATCTCACACGAGTCAGAATGGCTATTACTGAAAAGAAAAAAATAACAGCTGCCGGCCAGGTAGCATAGAAAAGGGAACACTTATACACTGCTGGTGGGAATGTTAATTAATTTAGCCACTGTGGAAAGCAGCTTGGCGATTTCTCAAAGAACTCAACCCAGCAATCATGTTATTGCATATATACCCAAAGGAATACAAATCATTCTACCATAAAGACACATGCATGTTTATGTTCATCACAGCACTATTCACAATAGCGAAGACATGGAGTCAACCTAAATGCTCATAGACTGGTAAATGCCCACGGACCATTGGTCCACGCCAATGGTAGACTGGATAAAAAATACAAGTACATTTTTAAAAGGACAAGAGATGGGTTTATAACTCATAGGGATATCTTATGAGAAATTTTAAGGTCTTTGAGGTATTTAGCTTTTACTTTGAGTATAATATGAAAACATTACTATGTTTCCCAAGAATCACTTTAGCTATAATTGAGGAGAAAGTAGTTTGGACCAGGTTGACCAGTTACTTATTAGAAGCTAATAAGTAGTAACATTTTTGATATATTTTAAAGACAGAATCAATAGTACTTGATGATGAATTGGATATGGAGTGTAAGAAACAATGAAAGAGAGGGTGGAATCCAAGATCTTTTTGGCCTGAATAATGGACTTAGAAAATTATAGGATGAGCAAGTGTAATACGATAGGTCAGAAGTTTGGTTTTATGAATGTTAAATGCTTATTAGACACAGAAGTAAAGATCGTATATAGGTATTTGAATATAAGAGTTCAAATACACATGACCGGGCACGGTGGCTCATGCCTGTAATCCCAGCACTTTGGGAGGCCAAGGCTGGTGGATTGCCTGAGCTCAGGAGTTCGAGACCACCTAGGGCAACATGGTGAAACCCCATCTCTACTAAAAATACAAAAAAAAACCCCACAAAAATTAACTGGGTGTGGTGGCACACGCCTCTATTCCCAGCTACTTGGGAGGCTGAGGCAGGAGAATCGCTTGAACGCAAGGGTGAAGGTTGCAATGAGCCGAGATCACACCACTGCACTCCAGCTTGGGCTACAGAGTGAGACTCTGTCTCAAAACAAACAAACAAAAAGAGTTACATGTAAAAGTCAAGTCTAAAGATACAAATTCACAAGTTATTACTATTTATCTGGACATGGTAAGCATTACTAATATTTACCAATATTTCCAGTTCTCTTCCCCTCCCTAAACATAAGGGATAATACTACTTGCTGACTTCAAATTAGATATGTCCACATGACTTCTGTTAGCTAACAATATTTGAATGGAACTTATATGTGTCACCTTTGGTTAGAAGCAATCCAAGTCAGAACATAATTCTTCATGTTATATTCCCATGCTTTGACACACCCTTAAAGCCTCATTCTGAGATGATGGTTTTGAGATAGTGAATAAACCTACACTTCAATAAGCAGTATCTTCAATAAGCAGACACAATCTATTAACCTGTATTGCATGTGTTAGATGAGAAAGGAGAGTAAGAGTGTGCTGTGTTAGGACGTTAGAACCAGGGTTTAATACACTTGATTAACTAATACAAATGACACTTAAAGCTGTAGATTTAATGAGATCATATAAGGGTTAAGTGAAGACAAAAATAAGAAGTGGTATAAGTATTGAATCCTGAGACATGCCAATGTTAAGAGGATAGAAAGATGAGGATGCATTAGCAAATAGACTAATGTGGAACAGCCTGAAAACAAGTTGTGAAAAAGGTAACTACAAAATTAATACAGAGTGATATATTATAGATCATGAAACCACACATTTTCCTTTGCCTACTGAGGTTCTATCAAAATCAGTGATTCTTTATAAAATATTAAGAATTGTTGCTGAAATTTTATTATTCTTTCTCTTCTTCTGACAACAATAAAGACAAGTCACTGGGTTTAACAAAAGATCATTACCAAAAGTGACAGTCCTTTTGTTTCCCATATATAATTTGGCAAGATTGATAAGTTGGACTTTAGACAGGCCTAACAGCAGTACTAATACCCCTAAAAAGCTGATGCTTCAAGATATTATTAACAAAAGATGAGAAAGTAAAACAATATAAAAATAGGTAATATAACAGCGTATAGTTTAAAAGTTATGTTCTGTCTCTATTAGCTGTGTGATTTGGGCATGTTTTTTAACCTACTCATGTCATCTTATTCATGTAAAATTAAGAGAAATAATCTTGTCAACCTAATGGGTTGCTTTGAAGATTAAAGGATTTATATAGGTAAAGTTTTTGGAAAATTTACTTGGTAAGTACAATTTTTTAAAGCTATGATTATTAAATTTTTAGGCATCAGCACAGATTATAGATATCTGAAAGTCTAACAGTATCCACTTCATATCTTCCTTCATGTCTATACACATACAGAGCAATGTGGCTAGAGAAAAATACAGATCTCTGCTGGCTATTCTCATTTTAAATTCTTGATTCTAACCCTTGATGAGATTATAATGCTGTCCAAAAGTCACATCATATTTGCTTAATCCATTCATCTCCCCACAATCTTTGACTATTTCTTTTATTTCCTCAAACATCTAATATTTCTTCCACAACATTTCTCCTAGTAGCTCATCACATTCTATTTCTCTGAAAAAATATAAACAATCAAATAAGAACTCCACACATTGCCACCACAAGTACTGCAAAAGTACTTTGATTTGGGACCAGTACTTTCATGCTGTGCTCTTTCTTTTGTTGAGAATAAACTGGCAATGCATCTAGCTATGGTCAACCTTTTATTTCGTGCAGTTAAAACCCTTCACCTCTTGTCTAGTCAAAAATATGGTTTCAGCAATTAAGCCTTCTTAGTTTTACACCATTACTTTTCATCTTTTTATTAGATTGTACCAATCAACGTACATATGTACTGTCATTAAAACAAATAATCTTTTTCAATTACACTTTACCCTCCAGAAACCAAGTTTGATTTCTTCATATTGCAGCTCAGTTCCTTAGATGTGGTGTTTTGTTTTGTTTTGTTTTTCTGTTGTCTCTGATTCCTCTCTTCTAATTTGCTCTTGAACTCACTCTGTTTATGGTCTGTCTCCAATGGTCAACCAAATTAGCTTTTATCAATATCGTCAATGGTCTCCAAACTACTAGATTCAAAGATTAGTTGTCTTACCATCTCACTTGAGTCACCAGCCACACTAAACATGTTGGACATGTTCGTCTTTCTACTATTTGTGATGGCATAAATGAGTAGAATATATCTATAAGGTTTCTTCTGGATGATATTTATAACTATTGAAAATTGTAATGATTGTTAAGGTTATCAATGGTTTTGGGATAAATCACAGCACCTTGTTTTTCAGCTGAAGTCACAACCCTGATGTAGAAAGGGCAAAGACATTTACCATAATAAGGTAGATTAGATGAGAAAAATTCATACTTCATTGAAGGTATGCAAATTTAGAGTGTGGCCAATATTCACAGAAAAAACTCCGGTGATGTTTTGTAATGAATAACTAGAAAGAGAAAAATAGTTTAATTATATTGACCAAAGATATATATCGATGATATTAAAGGCTGCAGAGAAAGTAATTAAGTATGCAGACTCAGGAGCCAAACTACATGAATTGATATCAGACACCTTGCTGCTTGAAAGATGTCTCTATATTTCATTATAGATACCTATAATAGTGATAATAATTAGATGCACATCATAGGGTTTTTATTAAGATAAAATATTTTAATTAATGTAAAATCTGGCCAGGTGTGGTGGCTCACGCCTCTAATCCCAGAACTTTGGGAGGCCAAAGCAGGCAGATCACAAGGATGGTGAAACCCCGTCTCTACTAAAAGTAGAAAAAATTAGCTGGGCATGATGGCATGCGCCTGTAATCCCAGCTACTCGGGAGGCTGAGGCAGGAGAATCGCTTGAACTCGGGAATTACACTGCTTAGACATTTTTGTTTTGATACATGCACCCATTTCTAAATCCAACTATCCTAATGAACAATAAGAACATACTATTTTATCCTGGACATCTTGGTCACTCCTGTGAAACACCGTGAGAGATAGGCCTTCAGAGATAAGAAGTGTCCAAAATTAAAAAATTCATGAAAAAAAAGAAATTTACATTTAAATTCTCTCTTTAAGTAAATTGTAGTTTAGATAGTTGAAAGTAAAATAAAATGAGAGAGTCAACAGGTCTTTGATGAGATTGAAGGATAAGGTAGATTGCAGATATTATCAGATGGTAGTATAAATTTTGTCCACCATTAAATGTGGTGACCTGAGAGATAAATGAAGGCAGTATACTTCATTTGAAAAGCTCAGGGACCGAAGGAAATTAGACTTTGATAAAATATAAACACAAAGTACAACTAAAGAGAAAATATCTGGCTAGTTAGAAGGAAAAAAAAACTTTTGTAGCTAAAATACAATCATTTTTTGTAGAGATTTTGGTATGTGTTTATGGAATATGCAAGCAAACGGTTGTCCCAGTGACTTGCTGTTTTTTTATGAAAGACTTCCTACTTTCTCACTCTTCCACAGATCTCTTACTATCTTAGTCCTTTGCATCATGCAATTGTCTGTTAAATAATTAGCTCTCCTAAGTAGCCTGTCTTCAAAATTTCTCTCTGTCACCCAAAAGCTATTTTAAAATCTTTCTGATATGAAGCATTTAACATACAGAAATATATATATTTTTTGTTATTACATATTTTATGTAATGTTTATGTAATATATATAAATAAGGAAATGTTAATGGATGTTAGAAAGGTATCATCTAATCTAATTTTATAATTTTTGAATTTTTCATAATTCTATAATTGTAATAACTTGAATCTTCCTTCATGTGTAATAAACTATTTTTATTAATTGTAGCATATTTTTCTTGATAAAATGAACAAATTAAATTGGTTTTTCAATATTAACCATGTTTAGACAGCTTTAAATTAATACAAGGTTAAAAAATAATAACAACACATTTCTATTTCTGTTTTCTTCATGACCCTTAGAGACTAACCTGGGTAACATGAGGAGACCCTGTCTCTAAAAAAATGCAAAAATTCACCTGGTGTGGTGGCACATGCCTGTAGAACCAGCTACTTGGGAGGCTGAGGTGGGAGGATCACCTGAGCCTAAGGAGGGCAAGGATGCAGTGAGTCGTGATCGCACCACTACACTCCAGCCTGGGTGACAAAGGGAGACCCCATCTCAAATAATAATAATAATATTTAAAAGTGTTTATCGTTGCAATAAATTTGGACATTTATGAATATAAACCATAGATCTCCCAAATTTCAAATATTACGGAGTAACAAACAACTGATATAATTGAGGTCCTTGGCAGTGGCTAAGACCCAGTATTTTCTAAATTGGTTTAGTTTAGAAAAGCTAAACTTAGCTAGGCAGAAAGTTAATTAAACCACAATCTATTTAAACTCGCATAAAGTGATTGGTATTCAAGGTGCTATATAGACACTGTTGATGGCAAGCACTGCCTTCAAAATACGTAAATCATACTCATTCTGTATAAACTGATAGTCTATTTAGAAAATAAATACAGCATATGAATTATTGTTTCATAGAGTCTGTATTTTCCCAAATGCGATGAGATTATGTTCAAAGTAATTATGTTAGTCTAATTACTTTTTCAACTTTCCAATTTCTACTACAATTATATTTGAGTGTTATTTTTAAGAAATACATAATCCCATAATGTCTGCTCAATAGACCCTAGAGACTATATTCTTCACAGTATCTAAATCATATCTTTGGAGGAAATTGGGAATTTACGAAAATAAATTACAACATATCAATATACTTTTATATATCAGAGGCTGTTCTTCAGGCAAATATGGGAGCCAAGATGCTTTATTCTAACACCTATTTTTTTCTGTATATAACTATTTCTTTCACCATCAAAGTATTATTTACATGGGAATTACAAGGATTTTGATTATTGTAAATTAACTCAATTCCACAAAATGCCTCCCTAATATCTGCAAGAGATAAGACTAGCTACAGTGATTCTCAAATATTAAAGTTAAAAGATGCCCACTATTACTAACACTGGGTAGCTTAAACACATGCTAGAAAAAAAAAAGCAATCTGATAGTTTTGATAGTGATAAATTTTGTAAAAATGGCCCAGACTTAGTGCGATGGGAGAGAAACTTTAAGCAGAGATTGCTTTTGAACATACATTAGAGGATTAGGGGAGAGCACAAGCAATAATTCATATGCCACATGCAAGACATTAGAATTGTTTTCTTGTTTCTGGAGTGCAAAGTTGGAGGCAGAATGTAGTCAGAGGTGACACTGGAGAGAGACTGACCAGCCACACCAAGTGTTAACTGGGTGATACTTATGAAGCTTAGAATTTATCCATAGGTAATATGCTGTCAATTATTATTTGCAATTTATTTTATTGGATTTTAAAAGCACCTATTTAATAAAATAATGTGTTTGTTGTAAAAAGTTAAATAGTAAAAAGATATGTATATATATAGTCCATGTGTACAATATTAACTAATTTATTTCCTTTTCCAAATGCCCACAACTATAATAATATAGTTTATTTCTTACACATTTGTAAAATGTTCATTCAATTATACACAGTGTTTTCCTAGGTTTAATGAGGTTGTGAAAAATAAGTCTGGTTAAATTCCAGAGGATGGGAAGTTAGTTTGAAAATAGAGAAAAGAACTGCTTTCAAGTGAAATGGAATAGCTAAAGGAAGACCAAGGGTTAAGAGTAAAAAAAAAAGTAAAATATTTACATAAAATTCAGGCATTTGAAGCCAAAGAACTATGGAGGCAGTGGAACTTAAAGAATTAAGAAATCAGAGAAAAATATGTCTAAGAGTTTATCTGCCTTCTGAAGCCTCTTTGACTTGGTGAATATGTCAATTAAAATGCTGGTAGAAGGCTGGGACCTTGGGACTGTAAGACTCATGAAGCACAGCTGCTAAAACAGTGAAACCGACGAGCTGCAGGCAGGTACTGGAGAACCCAGGCCACGGCCAAATTTTCATCTATGAAGGAGTAATTGTATGGGACTTGCCCTCACACATGAAACAACTATAAAACTGGAGAAAATAGATAAGACCATTGCTTTTAGGTATTTGACAACCGGCAGGGCAGGAGTGATCTCTGAGAGGAGGACAACTATGAGATAAGCCCTCCCATCACCCTGGCTTTCTGCCTGGAGATAATTGCATGGTCATGGCAAGAGGAGATGAGTAATTTTGGCAAGGTAAAGAGACCTAAATTTCATTTAAAGGAGGGTGTGGCAACTGGAATTGTTGGGGCAGAGTACTGGAGAGATCAATGCAGGGAAATAACTTGAATCTGCTTAAAAGCCTCCACTATCTTTGTCTGAATATCAATCTCTACATTCATTAAGTTTAACTTTAGGAGGCCAGACAAAGCACAACTACAATGAAAAAGACAATGTCTGGGAAGCCATAAGCTGGAAAATTCCCTGAGCACCCCAGGGCTGTGAATCATTTTGATTTATTACCTAGAGTAGAAAAACATTGTGGCGTATTTGGGGCACTTAGTAGATGCTTCCAAAGGGCTTCATCATGTTACAGGGACTAAACTAACTCTAAAGGAAAGACTACTCTAGACCCACTGTAAAAAGACTAGTCTAGACCCACACTAGACTAAACTAACTCTAAAGGAAGAAATACTCTAGAGCCACTGTAAAAAAGGCTTAAAAAGCACGGGAAAGATCAAGCTGATCCACACATAGCACACCAACGTATGTGAAATAGGGTAAGAGGTTTTCTCATTATAATTATTAAAATATAATATTTGTTGGTTCATGTTATTACTTGGTCCTGTAGTAGGACAGGCAAACAAACCTAGTAAAGATTTTTAAGTTAGGATGGAATTGGTTCACCTTAAGGGCTTGTTTAATTTAACTGCATCCATATTTTATTCATTATTCACTTACATTTTTCTTCTTTCAATCTAAGCAAAATCTATTTTTTCTAAAGATGAAAAATCTACTCTTGAAAAATAAATTCACCACAGTTACATCTCTCTGCTTTTTTGTAAGCTTCTCTGTTATTTTCAGAATCACAAATATAAATTATAGCAGGGGTAGTAACAGCTGGTGATCTTACTGCTGTTGTCTCTATTGCTGCTATTGTGGGTTCTCTGGCCCTATTTTTCTAATCTCTCTAATCACACAGTACTTTTGATGAATAATAATTAACAGATTGATGAATATATCAAAAGAGGTTAAACTTAGGGCAGTAGTAGGCAGTGTTTACTCCCACATTAGTTAATTTTCTCTTGAAATGAGATTCAGAGTGTACAATAAATGTAACTGAAATTATAGTTCTATGTTATTTTTCAAATATAGTGTGACAAATTTGATTTCTGAAAGGTTAGAATAAATGATTTGATATTTTAAAAGGTCAAAATATCATATTTTTAGTTATTTTTCATAGCAGCAAATAAATGGTGATTACTTATTACTAAGTTTTGCAAATCAAAGTTTGTTTTGGAGGGAAAGTGAAGGAGGAAGAATTGATTTTTAAAGAATACCTACAATATATTAAAGGTTTCTAATCTACTTCCTTATAAATAAGATTTGAAGTTTTACTGGATACGAATGTTAAAAACTATGGAGAATAAGGTACTGTACTTGCATGCATACTTTTTCTTAAGGAATCAAACAGTTTAATCAATTACTCATCCTGTTTTTGCTAGCTTAGATGTTGCCTGTAATAAAAAATCCATTTAATTCACTATCTTCTCTCAATGAAATATTTTATTTGGGAAGTTAACATATATATATATATTTGTACTTCACACAGGAATACAAATAGTGAGTGAGTCACACACTATGTGTGAGCCACTTAAATGAAGGCAATATTATTAGTTATTATAAAGAAGTGAAAGGAATGTAAGTAAAGGGCCTAATTTACGGTGAACATTTTATAAACATGCATTACATTTTTTATCGTCATCTTACAAATCTGAAAATAATTATTTTATAGTTGCAACCCAATAAACTATACGTGCTGCAAACTTTAATCACTTTCAAACTGTGTCAGAGGTATAAAATATTGATATGTTTAAGGATGTAAATATGGATATAAAGATAAACTGATTTCAGAAGAATACACAAATATATGTGCATACTGTATACATTTCCTATTGAAAACAGGACATCACATTTCTTTTTCTATGTCAGAGTGCTTCTTGGTTAAAAACACATCCCATTTACCACCAAAATGCAATTTAGAGAAAAAAATGAATACTGTTTTTGATTGTTTAGGTGGTGAAAAGGCAACATACATAGCCTGCCGTAATAATGATTCCACCATCTACTTTTTCATATACCTTATTCTATAACTTTATAAAACATTCTCAAAATCAATTCTGTCTGAGCTCTAGCCTTAATGCCGTCCTTCTCTTTCAAATTAACCTCTTATCCTACTGCCTAGACATCAAAAAAGTCCAAATTACTAGCCAAGAAATGGAAGAATGCTTCTTGAGTGACTGTGGAGGAAAATAAATTAGATGGGTCAATTCAGTACTCTGTAGAGGAAAGGTTAATGAGAAGGGCTGAAAAAAAATGATTAACACATTTATTGTATGTATATACTTCAGAATATTTGTCGAAAACGGAGACTCCTTCCAGGCAAAACATACGTTTATAAATATCTAACAGCATTCTAACGTCCACTGAGGCTATGGAAAATGGTTTCATTACCTGATGTCTCTGCCACGTTTCCAGCTCCAAATTTTCCATGATGTAGAATTGTGTTATATTATTGTGACTAATTGCTTTGTTTTCATTTCTTCTGAATCGGTGTTGATGTATCTTTCATTGCATCCTGTATACTCTCTATTCCATTAAATACAAGAGGATAAGAGAAAAACAAAAATATAAACACTTCTGAACTAAGCCATTTCTACTTCTTTCCAGCTACTATGTTGTCATTTATTCTGTTCTGCCTTTCAAGATGCTCTTATCTAACCCTATTTAAGGCATTTTAAGTTAAAAATAACTCTTTATTTTTACAATAGTAATGTACAATAATATTAACTCCAGATTGTTGAATGGTTACATCTTACCTAAATAATCTGAGACTTGGTGTTAAATGTAAATTGAGTGGTAAAAGCTAAGTTACAGAAGTCCAAAGATGGGTATGGACTCACTTCTCCCTGTAATGTTGATTTCTAAATGACAAAAAAAACACAAAAGCTCTGTAAATAGTTTATCTTGAAATTAACTCTAAAAGTGCCACAGCCTGATCTTCTTTGTTATGGCAGAGTAGGATTAAAATTTGTTTCACTCTCGGCTGTTTGTTTGCTTGGCACACTTTCAAAAATTGGTTTGCATTTTGCTGGCATGAAAGGATTTTTACTACTGAGCTTCGCTTTAATTAAGAAATCTAGGCCGGGAGCGGTGGCTCACACCTGTAATCCCAGCACTTTGGGAGGCTCAGGCAGGTGGATCACCTGAGGTCAGGAGTTCGAGACCAGCCTGGCCAACATGGTGAAACCCTGCTTCTACTAAAAATACAAAAATTAGTCAGGCATGGTGGCATGTACCTGTAATCCCAGCTACTAGGGGAGCTGAGGCAGGAGGTTCGCTTGAACCTGGGAGGTGGAGGTTGCAGTGGGCCGAGATCGCACCACCACACTCCAGCCTGGGCAACAGAGTGAAACTCTGTCTCAAAAAAAAAAAAAAAAATCTATTTTACACTACTCTCCTCTTCAAATTCTGCCATGGGTGCAACATTTGAATGTCACTAAAACTGGCATAAGACATTTGATTTTATCTTGGCTTTCAGATTGTGTTAACAGGTTTTAACAACTCTCAACCCCACCCAAGCAAAGTACCTTGCAAAAGACCTTATTTCAATTGCATTTATGTATCACTATTACCAATAAGTATATATTTTTTGAAGTTCCAGTGGACATCAGCAATACTGTAACAGAGGCCAATTTTCCACATGCCAAAGTTTAATTGGAAATTTCAAGTGATGGCTGGTAACTCAGTTTCTTTTATCTCACTGCATTGCAAGTGATAGTTCCAAAATAAGAACAACTTATTTGAATATCTTTAGTGACTAAATTGATCATTGTACATGTATTCATTAGTGAATTTTGTAGGTTAAGTTATACATTTAACCAACAAATATTTTGAGGTAAAGCTATATACATACTGTTCTAGAAATTAATTTACCTAATGTTTTATGTTAAATTTAAAAATTGAGGACTTTGATACATTATTTTTATAAGTAAAATTAGCATTTACACATAGAAAGACGTGGACATGTGGACATCCACAGACTCACAAATAGAATATTTATCATTTGGGAAAGGCAAGAATGCTTTACTAGCTTTACATTTGAAGGAAGAAATTGCAGTAAAAAATGTTATAGTTCATTTTCTATTTTTCCCTAATCTTAATTTTCTAACTATATATCCAAGTACTCATATTTTTGAAACTATTAGACCTTATCCAGAGCGCTAGTATAGGCCATTTTTATGTCTTCAAAAAAAAGAAAAAAAAAGACTAATATTACATTTATTTCAGCAGAAATCTTAAAATACTTGGTGCCCTGATCTTTACATTAGTAGAAATTATTACATTTCTGAAACAAAGACATGAATTAAATCAAGCGTCTAAAAGAATAAAAATACTCAAATGTGGATTTTTGTAAAATTGATTTTATGAATGCTAAAGCAACTCTTTATTTTAATGTTGATCCTTTTTCTTTATAAATACATTTTATTGGACATATATTTTCTCTGCAGCCTTGACTTCCCAGGCTCAAGCAATCCTCCTGCCTACCCCTGCTGAGTATGTACGGGTTGTTAGACAGGCATGAGCGAGGCAGGAGAGGGTTCTTCCCCACCCACTAGGAATGTCCAGTGGTGGTTTGGCAATTATCACATTGCCTCTCTAGAAGTGATAAATTGGCAGCCAGTCCTGATGATCCACACCTGTTGCACCAGCATTAATTGGTGAATGCAGATGCCAGAGAGAAGCAACTTCCGGGGTAGGTGCATTAAGAGACAAAATGATGGAATATGACCTTCCAGGGGATCATGACAGAAGAAGGGGAAAAAAAAAAGCCTCAAATGGGCATGCACACAACTTCCTAAACACACTGAGCATGCTCACCTCCTCCTAAGGGTAAGAAGGGCACTGAGGATGGAGGCAGCTCACAGGGAAGAATCATGGGAAAGGGGCCAGCCTATAAAGTTTTAATATCAAGGTTAAACAGGGCACTTAACCTTGGTGCTCACTTGGGTCTCTTCCAAGCATACTTTCCTATTTTTCCTGTTCTAAAGCCTTTTAAAATAAACTTCCACTCCTGCTCTAAAAGTTGTCTCAGTCTCGTTTTGTGCCTTATGTTCCTCAGTTGAATTCTTTCTCCTGAGGAGGCAAGAATTGAGGTTGCTGCAGACCCATACAAATTCACCACCAGTAACTCGAATACCTTCCACCGGTAACAAGTAGCTGGGACCACAGGTGTGAGCCACCATGCCGGGCTAATTTATTTTATTTTTAGTAGAGATGGGTTCTAGCTATGTTGCCCAGGTTGGTCTCAAACTCCTGGGTTTAAGCAATCTGCCTACCTTGGCCTCCCAAAGTGCTGGGATTACAGGCATGAGCCACTGTGGTTGGCCAAATTCTTCTTTTATTCTCCACAGCTACAGCAAAACTTAATCTAGGAAAATATTAACAGTTTAGAACATATTTTTAATTTTAATTAAAGCATGTGGTATATTTATTTTACATAGTAAAATACTTTCAAGCAATTCATAAGTGGATTATTTAAGTCCTCTGTGCAAAATGAATGCAGATTATAAAATAATTGTTAATTGTACCATTTTAAAGATAATTTCTAGACCTCTTTAGAAGAATTTTAGATACAATATAGTTAAAGTCATTGCAATGAATCTAATCTCTTATTCTGTACCAGTAATTTTGTCTCTATTGTTCCCATTAAATAATAAGTAGTAGGTGCTGAGCTTGAATATATGTTTTATACTGTACCGAAAAAGGACCCAGAATGTGGGCTATGTATGAAAGCATATCTAATTGCTGATCTGCTATTTACTCATCTCTTGTCTCTGGTAATATAATTTACTTCTCTGGGATTAAGATCTTTGAGAAGAGAGTAAAGGATTACATCCCCGCAAATATTTCATAATTTTAAAGGAAATCCAACAAAAACTTAAAATCCTGCCTGAGTAAATTTCTAATCAAATATGTTTGTATATATTTGGATAAGTTGTTCTCTACATAATTTTACAAAATAGCCTGAAAATGTAACTTCTCAGCAACTTTAATGAGCAGTATATTTTATATAATCTTGAAGATTGATGAGCCAGATTGAATATAATTTACACTGAATTTTCTTCATAGTAAAAGTCAATTTATAAATGAAAGAAATAAGACAAGGAAAGAAATCACACATAGAATGAGAAGGTTAAAATATGAAAAAGAGTAGAAAACTCTTTTAGAGAAATTAGGCATCATTCTTTTAACTGTCCAACGGGGTCACCTTGCCCACTGCCTAGACAGAGCCCATTTATCAAGACAGGGTAATTGCAATGGAGAAAGGGCAATTCACACAAAGCTGGATGTGTGGGAGACCAGAGTTTTATTATTACTCAAATCCGTCTCCCCAAGCATTCAGATATGGGAGTTTTTAAAGATATTTTGGCAGGTAGGGGCTCAGGAAGTGGAGAGTGCTGATTGGTCAGGTTGGAGATGGAATCATTGCTGTCCTCTATTCCTGGGTGGGATTGCTCAACTGGTTGGCCCAGATTACCAGTCTGGGTGGTGTAAGCTTATCCATCCAGTGCAGGGTCTGCAAAATGTCTCAAGCACTGATCTTAGGTTTTACAATAATAATGTTATCCCCAGGAGCAATTTGGACAGGTTCAGACTCTTGTAGCCAGAGGCTGCCTGACCCTTAAACCATAATTTCTAATCTTGTAGCTAATTTGTTAGTCCTACAAAGGCAAACTGGTCCCCAGGCAAGAACAGGGACTTTTCAGAAAAAGGATATTATCAATTTTGTTTCAGAGTCAACCCATAAACTAAATTCCTTCCCAAGATTAGTTCCACCTATGCCCTCGAATGAACAATGACAGTTTGAAGGTTAAAAGCAAGATGGAGTCAATTAGGTCTGATCTCTTTCACTATAAGAATTTCCTCAGTTATAATTTTTGAAAAATGGTTTCTTCTCATCATAAAAACTGCGCAACTAAATTAACTAAAGTTTCACATTAATAATCACTGTAGAAAAATATGTTTTTATTGTTTTAATGGAACAAGTTTCTCATTAGTTGTTCCAGGAAAGTTGAATAGGCTTTAATATCATTTATGAAAATTGTTAGTAAAATGCTTGGGGGTATATTTTTAAACTGGTAATTGAGGGAATAGTAATTAGTTTCAGCAGGAATAATAGTGTTTTATCATCTTATTCTCATCCATGGAACTACCAGTGCTATTTCTGTCATTCTTCTCTGTTCAGTACATACTATCCTTTAGTTAAAGTAGCTATTAACTTTGATATTATATTCCAATGAACTTTTAATCACCTAATATCTTAGTTTAAATAATGTTTTTTAAAAAACCAAGAAAGTAAAAACTTACAATGGGTGTAACTGAAAAGGGCCTGAAAGAACTTCTAGTCCAATGACTTCACTTTATTCACTATATCCAATCATAGTGGAATCCTATAAATTCATTTTACCATTCACACACACACAACTATATACTTTTCCATAACATTATAAAAGACTAATTAGCTATTGAAGGGAATTAAAATATTTTACCCCAAAATATATTTATTTGACCTATTTTGAAATAGCTACCTCTTAGCTATTTCCTGGCAGAAGTGGTCCTGCAAAAGCTGTGTTAAGCGGGGAAAATTTGCAGCTGTAGAGAATCTCCGTGAATGCAGCCATTCCCCTGCCCCTTTCTATGCCTTTCCAAAGATCCAGGAGAGATTAAAAGTCAGACACTTTTACAAGTCTACAAAGAAACATTTATCATTTATTTTTTTCTGAGGTAGATTTCATCTACGTAACAAGGCCACCTTTGCTTGCTAAGCTTCTTCTCTCTCCCCTAAAAAGTTTTACTAGGGTTTAAGCCCACATTTTTTTTTTCTGTAACTTCAAAATTTTTTTTGTAACTCATTGGGAAGTGGGGTTTTCATTCTGAAGATTCTCATTTATATATGTTAAAAATATATTGCATGGCTTTACTCCTATTAATCAATCTGCCTCATGTCAGTGATTTTTAGGGAAACTTTATGGGGCCAAGAGCCTATGTCCCACACGCTATCAAAATGGAAAAATAATGCAATAGTAGCAGTGTATTTCCAAAAAATATATACCAATAAATTGTTCTGAGATATAGCCTGGGATTGGGGGTTGGGACAGGGAAGAGAATAAACAAAACTGCCTGGGTATTTTTGGAGAGAAGGAAAATTATGTTATTTTTTCATGCTTCACTGCAGAATTGATTTTTTGCAGATTATGGAACTAATACTGGAAATTCTCTTAACTTAATGACCCTGTAAATTTGGACGTACTTTGGGGGAATGGATATGTTCTTATATAAATTCATTTTCACATATTTGTATAAAGTAAATATTCTAATATTTGAGACCTCAAATAATTTTTATGCCCCTAAATTATGAGTCATGGCCCTCTCTCATGTGAAATAGCAATGATGCCAATCACTCTATAAGGTAGCCATAAAGAAACAAATGAAATAAAAAGCTATTCAAATAAAAGGCTTTATGATGATGATAATTTTTATATTTTAAAGATAATCCAACATATAAAAACTTAAGATTCTATGAAAAATCATTAAATTGCGTACCTTCCTATTTTGCTCTGCCTTTCTTAGAACATAGACACTTGATTTTTCCAGAAATACTGAGGCAGAACAGCAAAAACACATCTTTCTGTTTTTAATTATAAAGAGGTTTCTTCACTACAAACATAACCAAATGCAGGTTCAGCTGTTCAACGCTTGCAAAATCAAATAATAGGGATGGGGTGTAATAGAAGAAAAGTGACTTTATTTTCCAAAGCTTGCAGTGGGGAAGTCGTTCGGACACTAATAAAACTGCTTCAGAATTCTCAGGCAAAATCCCAGGATTTAAGAAGGGGAAGTATGGTGTGGAGGGCAAGCAGTGGAGCAAAGCAGTGGAGCTCTGTGACTTGTTCAGATGACTTATCTTGAGTTATTGCCCCATCTGGTGAATGGGCTGGCACCATCTCAGGCTTTGCTGTGTGGTAAATTAGCTGCAGCCTTGAAGTAATCTCCTGGTGGGGGAGAATTCCATAGGCATCTGGATTGTCTAAAGATTCAGTCTCTGAAACTTCTCTAAGCAAACATAATTAGATAAGCTAGCAATTCAAGGGAGTGTGCCTAGTGGAAAGTAGGAGAGTAAGGGTTAGGAATTTTAACTATGGGGAAGACAGTGGCTTAAAGTTTACATAATAGACCTTGCCTTGGTTTAGATCTAAGTCTGTGCCTTTAACATGTGAATTTTTTACTTTGTTTCACCTAACTCATGTCTTTGGAGATGCAGATTTAGAGTTGCCTAGTCAACAATTGTTTAGAACATAGAACAGATAATCAAGAGATTAACAGTCTAACAGAGCAGGTAAAAGTTATGAAAACAGGCAAATGAAAAATCTCAAATCTGTAAGATCTGCCACTGTCTATGGGCCTGTCATTTCTATATGTTTATATGTGTCATGTGGAAATGATATTTCACTACCACATTTTATGAAAGAGCTTCAATTAATTGGTTTAAAGAAAAGTAAACAGACTAATAGAAGCTAGCTCAGATGGCCTTTTGTTCACATGACTTCGGTTATCTTTGGTAAGAGTAATTTAGTCTCAAAATTATCTCTATTAATTTAAAACCTTTAAGTTATATTACGTTAAATTAAGTAAATCTAGTTTTTTTTTTTTTCCCCCACTGGGAATTAGAGTTACCAAGAGTTAAAATAGTAGGCTAGTAAGATTTGTTCTTGGTGAAGTTTATAAAAAAATATGAGAATGTTGTTTTTGCTAAAGAAAATGTAATTTTTTTCTAGTTTAGAGGCTATTTAAAGTTTGCTTTAAAATAAAGAAAAAATGATACAGGTAAAACTAAATGAATAAAAAGATGAAAAATAAAAGGGTGGGAATAAAGAACCTTTGATTTCTGGATGGCCACACTGTCACCTATAGTACTGGAGCAGCATCTGGGCTTCATTCAATTATTAAAGATAGAAGATCCAGGGGAATTTAGAGATTGGTTATACTTCTGAGGAGTTGGTTCACAGGATGCATAAGAAAATGCAAACTAATATGTAAAAAGCAAAATATTCAATCCCTTGGTTATACTTATCTATAATAGCTAAAATAAATGTGAAACAATATTGTGTTGGGCCTTAAGGCAGGACCAAAGTTAGATGTGGTGCTGTCTGAGCTCAGATCACTCACTTCAAAGCTAGGCACAGAAGGAAAAATTAAGCCAGGTCAACAGAAAGTACCTCTGACACTTGTGATTACCAAGAAGGTGGTCAATGTGGGGAAAATGTTACCAACAGTGGATCCATATAGGTCTGCAGCAACCTCAATTCTTGCCTACTCAGAGGAAAGAATTTGACCAAGGAGGGGTAAGCCATAAAGAGAGACTGAGGCAAGATTTAGAGCAGGAGCAAAGTTTATTAAAAAGCTTTAGAGCATGAATGAAAGGAAGTAAAGTACACTTGGAAGAGGGCCAATGGATGACTCGAGAGATCAAGTGCATAGTTTGACCTTTGACTCAGGGTTTCATATGTTGGCATACTTCTGGGGTCCCTTCTTCCCTGATTCTTCCCTCGAGGTGGGCTGTGCATATGCACCCTGTCCTGCCAGCACTTGGAAGAGGTCACATGCACAGTGTGTTTACTAGAGCTGTACGCATATACATTTGAGGCATTCTTTCCTTACCAGACAAAGTCCCTGGTAGGTCATATAGCAATTAAACTCCATCATTCATTTTGCTTTTTTTTTTTTTTTTTTTTGACAGAGTTTTGTTCTTTTTGCCCAGCTGGAGTACAATGGCACAATCTCAGCTCACTGCAACCTCCGCCTCCCAGATTCAAGTAATTCTCCTGCCTCAGCCTCCCAAGAAGTTGGGATTACAGGAGACTGCCACCACACCAGCCTTATTTTTGTATTTTTAGTACAGAGGGGGTTTCACCATGTTGGCCAGGCTGGTCTCAAACTGATGACCTCAGGTGATCCACCTACCTCGGCCTCCCAAAGTGCTGGGATGACAGGCATGGGCCACCATGCCCGGCCATTTTGCTTCTAAATGCACGTGCTTTAGCTCACTCGCCCAGCTCCTGATATCTTATTGGGAAGCTGCTGATCACCAATTTCAGGTGTTTCTATCTATTGAGGGGCTGCCTTTCCCTGGCACTAGCTGTGACCAATTATTATTTTAGAAAGACACTTATCAACCCCCGATCATCACCTGATGGTTGCCTGATATTCCTGGTGGAGTGTGGGGGATCCCTCTCTTGCCCTGCTCATGTCTGACTAACTATCTGCTATAACAGAAGGGCAAAACCAAGGAACTGTTAAAACCAGAGGGTGTAATATAAAGAAATTGTTCAATTTTGTAAGTTGGTATCATCAGCTTCTTGAGAAACCTTTACTAAAATGGATGGTAAGAATAAATAATGTAAGGTAAGTATCTTTAATTTTAAATGCTACAGAATGAAAGAACACGTTTGGCTTGATACAGGAACCACAGCTCACTATTAAACAATTGCTGATGAGTATATGCAATCCAGAAACACAGAAGGTTATTCTTGATAGAACAGCCAGCTCTGGTTGACCAGAGAAAAGCCACTGGAAGGTCTGTTTGCCCTAAGAAGGTGACTGCCCAACTCTCTCTATAAAAACCAAGTGGAGGACCCCAGATGAAGCAGCTGATATGCTTCATATGCAAGCCATGTGGGACTGGCTTTACGATGACTGAGATATTTACCCACTGAATATGCCCATTACCCAGGTTACGGTAAGTGCTCTGGTTAAGGGAACTCCTTCTACATGAGCACCCCAGGTGGCATTACTCCTGAAGAATTAAACAGAAGTTTGAGAAGCTTTATCAAATTTGCTATTGCAGCTCTCCCTCATTCGTCTTATAGATACTAATAAAACATTAGAGTGAAAAACAAAACAAAACAAAAAAAATTGGGTGCCGTGGCTCATGCCTGTAATCCCAGCACTTTGGGAGGCCAAGGCAGGCGGATAACCTGAGTTCAGGAGTTCAAGACCAGCCTGGCCAACATGGAGAAACCCCGTCTCTACCAAAAATACAAAATTAGCTGGGCGTGGTGGTGCATGCCTGTAATCCCAGCTACTTGGGAGCCTGAGGCAGGAGAACCGCTTGAACCTGGGAGGTGGAGGTTGCGGTGAGCAGAGATCGTGCCATTGCACTCCAGCCTGGGCAACAAGAGAGAAACTCTGTCTCAAATAAATAAATAAATAAATAAATAAATAAATAAATAAAAGGCGGGGGCAAAGATCAAATGGAGTCAAAGGACTCACCCCAGAAGAGTGGAAATCTTTAGATAGTTATTGAGAAATGAAATATATAAAATTAAGAGTATAGTGTTAAAACAAGGTCTTAGTACAACACTATTGAAGGTTAGATGGACCACAGGGAACCCCAGCTGGTCCCTCAACAATAAAGGGCCCCACACCAGTTTTGTGCATTTACTCTGGAATGAAGAAATTTAAGAAAAATTAAAAGGAATAGGTTACAGTGAGAAAGCTGACATTGCATGGGGCAATGTTGAGGCAAGTGAAGATAAAGAATGACAAAAGGGCTTGAGTCCCTAGGCTCAACTCCCTGCCGGGAACCCAAATACTTTTTCACAAGTGTAGGTAAAATGGTCTTGGGGTAGAGAAGAAAAGCTACTGAGACCAGATCATAAAAATGTAAGGGTTGATAGAATTATGAAAGTTATGAAGTTTAAACAGGCTTTATATGAAGTAGTTGTGACTTCTTTACTTAAATGTTTTATAAAAATGGATACTGTATCTGACTAGGGGGGTATTTCCCCTACCTATACTATAAAACAGAAGGCATGTAAGTCTGCCATTTGACTAATATTAATTGGACATGCAAATGGGAACCAGTAAGATTGCCCAGGCCCACAGAATACAAGATAGAAGCTGGATTGCTGGTAGGGACAAACTCATTTGGCAGTCCTTTGTGAAGTGTTTACTGGGGCTTGTGGCAGAAGCCAGTGAGCACCTCTCAATGGCAACTACTTGGTTCGTAGATGGCAGTTCTAAGGTGAATAAACGACATTCTGTTTGGAAGGCTGCTACTCTGGTTGTAAAGTATACTTTTGTGTGCAGGATTTACTCTTCTACCAGGGTTCTCCAGAATTTGGAAACTATTTGTGAGTATTCTTCTTTTATGGCAGCATGGTTATTTGTATAATTTCAGTAACTGTTTTCTTTTGAAACATGACACAATTGGAGACACTAGTTATTTTACCAAGGCCTTGACTAGAACAACATATTCTTTTTTTTTTTTTTTTTTTTTTTTTTTTTGAGACGGAGTATCGCTCTGTCGCCCAGGCTGGAGTGCAGTGCAGTGGTGCGATCTCGGGTCACTGCAAGCTCCGCCTCCCGGGTTCACGCCATTCTCCTGCCTCAGCCTCCCGAGTAGCTGGGACTGCGCCTGCCACCATGCCCGGCTAATTTTTTGTATTTTTTAGTACAGATAGGGTTTCACTGTGTTAGCCAGGATGGTCTTGATCTTCTGACCTCGTGATCCTCCTGCCTTGGCTTCCCAAAGTGTTGGGATTACAGGCGTGAACCACCGCGCCCGGCCAACTAGAACAACATATTCTTAAACAAAGTTCCAGCAAAATCAACTGGAAAAGAGACTATATGGCCAAACAATTCTTGCTGCATTTTAGGCAAATAATCAGTCCAAGTATCGTAAGCCTAAAACTTATTTTGCACACAAATTGGTCTTACTATCATTTATCTTTAGTAGAAAAGAAGAGCTAGAGAGAGAGATATTATGTTTCAAAGGAAAACTATAACACACCTATTGCTAGATTCTAGCCCTGACCCTTGTTTTTGTGTGTAGATTGAATCATGAATTATTTTTTGGCTACAATTGTCCTCTAAAGACAAACCAGGTCAAAATTTTCTTCATGACATTTTTGGTTGGCACCCTAATGAAATAGGTTTCTTTTTCTGTTCTAACACACAATTTCTCTTTTGATTGTCAAATTATTAATATTGTTTATCTCTCATTGTTTTGCTTCTTCCAAGAAAACCAGAATCATGGCATTCTGAAGATTAGACATGATTTCACAAAGCCTGGCAATCCCCCTCATTTGGAATCCCACTGGACCCAATCTGTTTTTCACTTCCAATGCCCTGCTGCAATCTATGCAAACATCCTCCCTCTAGGCCCAGGGTGTATATGAAAGAAGTGGGCATGCGAGATTGTAAAAACTGGTTTTGAGGGATATAATTAGTTCAGACCCTCACAATCAAGGATGGGCACACAGATGCCTAAACAGCTGGTGAAATGAGGGACTTTGCCTTGGGTCGTTATCTGGCACATTTTCATCCATCCCAACCACAAGGAATTTCCTACTTCTCATAAAATTAAAAAAAAAAAAATTACTGAGAGAATATCAAGATACTTAGTGGAAAAATCTTCCAGGTATAATGCTCCCAGTTATGAGATTTATGCAGATACATGTTAATAAAATGTATCAGCCTCCTCAGGAAAAACTACTAAGAAGACCACAAAAAGCATTATGGTACAACAAAAGTTGTTGAATTCCTTAGCTCTTTTAAACAAAATATTTATGTTTTGTATAGTTAATTGCTACAAGACTATAACTAAAACCAGGATTACAATAACTCAGTGCATATAAGTTATAGATAAGTCAAGTTGGTAATCTTGGCTTTGGCTTTTGATTTCTGGCTTTTATATGGCTTAAATAATTGTAAGGTTAATGAATACCTGTCCACCTTCATTCCCATTTTGCCTAGAACATTTAAGTTGCCTTTAAGTCTTTCATCTCTAAGTCCCTTTGACAGAGGGGTCCCACCGACAGACAGGAAGGACCCAAGGCAGGCAGCCACACTACCCTGGCAGCAGTATTGGACAAATAATGTTTGGCCATAGATGTTTCCTCTGGAAAATCTTGACCAGAAAGAGGAGAAATGTAAATCAAAAACAGAATTCTAAGCCCCCTAACCAACTAAATAGACAACTCCTATTGGCCAAGAAGATTTCAAAGAAACCTTAAAAAAAAAAAAAAAATTTGTTTAGGCCATAATGGAAAGGGCTGGTAGAACATGCCTTAGTATACCCTCCTCCTTTTGAAATTCAGGCACAATTGACCAGCATTAACTTTAAAACAATGTTGTTATGCCTGACAAAATTGACTCTTTGTAGCAATAAAATACCACCTTTTAATTTCAATCTAGTATAACATTGCCTGACAGGTAGCAGGCCCAGAAAGAGATCAAAATATTTTATTCCAAAATGTATTTCAAAGAAATGGTCCTGCAAAGCTATCTCTTGGGGGGAAGTTTACGTTCTGTAGAGAATCCCCTTTCCTTTTCAGGTTTTTTTCTGATATTGAAGAGATTGTCTGAAAGTATAGCACCTTTTAAATGTCTGAATAGAAAATATTTGCCATTTATTGCCTCTAAGGGTGGCTATCCATGAGACTGCATCTACATAATAAGAACCTTGGTCTCTACAACCTCTTATCTTACCCCAGACACTCCTTTCTATTGATCCTAGGTCTTTAGATAATAACTCTTTCAACAAACTGCCAATCAGAAAATCTTTGAATCCGTCTCTGTCCTGTAAACCTCAACTTTGAGTGTCCCACATTTCTGGACCAAACCAATATATACCTCACATGTATTAATTGATGTCTTATATCTCCCCAAAATGTATAAAACCAAGCTGTAACCCCACCACCTTGGATACATGTTATCAGGATCTCTTGAGAATGTGCCTCAGGCTATGATCACTCATATTTGGCTCAGCAAAAATCTCTTTAAGTATTTTAGAGAATTTGACACTTCATCGATGCAGCAATATCAGCCTTTTTGAAGGGAAAGTTATACTTCTATAATAACAGCATATAGTATAGACAAAACAAAAGTATCAACCACAAAATTCACATGATTTGAGCAACAGTAGATGGGTAAAATTATTTAGTAAATTGTGATTTAAAATGATAGTTTATTTTCTTTTCTTATTAATAGGTGATATGGTTTAGATCTGTGTTCCCACCTACATCTCATGTTGAAATGTAATCCTAGGCTGGGCACAGTGGCTCATGCCTGTAATCCCAGCACTTTGGGAGGCCGAGGTGGGCAAATCACTTGAGGTCAGGACATCGAGACCGTCCTGGCTAACACGGTGAAACTCCGTCTCTACTAAAAATACAAAAAATTAGTCCAGCGTGGTGGTGGGAACCTGTAGTCCCAGCTACAGGCTGAGGCAGGGGAATGGTGTGAACCTGGGAGGCGGAGTTTGCAGTGAGCCGAGATCACACCATTGCACTCCAGCCTGGGTGACAGAGCGAGACTCCATCTCAAAAAATAAAAAAAGAAATGCAGTTTTAATTTCTAGTGATTTCAACTCAGAAAAATTGGAGAAAAATATTGAAAATGTTAGTTTGGGACTTGTAGTCAGAAAGAAAATTCAGGATTCAGTCCAAATTGTAAAGTATAATACAAACTGAAAAAATAATGAAGATGTCTAGAATCCAGTAACAGATGTACATGTTTCAACAGATGTTGAAACATAATTTTTCTATCCAATTCCCCAATTTTACTGAAGATAAAATCATAGTAGGTCTAATTTATTTGCAGACATTTGCAGACAGATAAATTCTTGGATGGACTTGAGAGGCTTTTAAAAGGTCTAATCTGAAATTCATTATTAAAATAAAATGTTCCGGCAAAGCCAATTAAAAAAAAAAAAAGAAAAGGAGGCCAGCCAGGCGTGGTAGCTCACACCTATAATCCCAACACTTTGTGAGGCTAAAGTAGGCAGACTGCTTGAGCCTAGGAGTTCGAGACCAGCTTGGCAACTTGGTGAAACCTTGTCTCTACAAATAATAGAAAAGTTAGCCAGGTATGGTGGTGTGTACCTGTAATCCCAGCTACTCAGGAGGTTGAAGTAGGAGGATCACCTGAGCCTGAGGAAGTTTAACTCAGTGACCCGTGATTGCATCACTGCACTCCAGCCTGGGCAATAGAGTAAGACCCTGTCAAAAAAAAAAAAAAAAAAAAAAAGGAAAAACTAAACAAAAAATAAAAATAAAAGAAAAAGGAGGCTATATGGTAAATAATTATTCTTGTTGCACTTTATACAAATAATCAGGTGAAGTACAATAAGACAGTTCATACTTAAGGTAAATTATAACCCAAATAGGTAAGGTCAAGGAGGAGAGAAGTTTGAACAATGCAAAATTGAAGCGAGAGTGCAAAATTTAAAGTAAAAAAACTTCTGTAAATTGCAACAGAAATGCAATTTTTGAAGGAATTGTTTTGTTTTAACGTATTTCTGGACTCTAGTTGTAACTGGGGACCTTGGTTTTAAAAAAATATGTGTGTGTGTATGCGTGTGTATATATTTATTATATTTATTTATTTACTTATTTATTTTAAGAAATGGCCTGTTGCTCAAGTTGGAGTGGACAATCAAGGCTCACTGGAGTCTTGACCTTCTGGGCTCAAGCAGTCCTTCTTCCTCAGCCTCCTGAGTAGCTGGGACTACAGGTGTGTGCCACCATGCCTGGCTATTTTTTTGTTCGTTTGTTTGAGACAAGGCCTCATTCTGTCACCCTCGCTATTTGTTTTTATTTTTTATAGGGAAGGGGTCTCATTTTGTTGCCCAGGATGGTCTTGAACATTCAGCCTCAAGCAATCCTCCCACCTCAGCCTCCCAAATTGCTAGTATTATAGACGTGAGCCACCATGCCCTGACTAAAAATACATTTTAATCATCCCCTTTCTTTTTCTTCTTTCCCTCCTATTTCTCCCCCTCTTCATTCCTCTTCTCTCTAGACACTCTTCTCCAGCAATGCATGCTGAAGAAATTCTAGAGGCTAATCTTGAAACAAACCAGGCCTGGAGCCCCTGTCAAATCCTCTGCTTGGAGGGAGTCACAGATAATTAGTCTATTACCATCGAGATGAAGTCAAAATAATGCCACTAAACCTGCAGATGGACACTTATTAAAGATAGCCATCAGGAATACCACACACAGACCGTTTACTCCGCACCACTCTTGCATGTCATCCATAGAAAATTTCCCTTTAAAAACCCAATGGTGAGCCGGGTGCAGTGGCTCACGCCTGTAATCAGCACTTTGGGAGGCCGAGGTGGATGGATCACCAGGTCAGAAGATCGAGATCATCCTGGCTAACACAGTGAAATCCCATCTCTACTAAAAATACTAAAAATTAGCCGGTGTGGTGTCATGCGCCTGTAGTCCCAGCTACTCAGGAGGCCGAGGCAGGAGAATCACCTGAACCCAGGAGGCAGAGGTTGCAGTGAGCCGAGATCGCACCACTGCACTCCAGCCTGGGTGACAGAGTGAGACTCCGTCCCAAAAAACAAACAACAAACAAAAATGGTAAATTTCAACATTTAAGATGATACTTTAGAATGCTAGCTCACCATCTTCTTAGTTTGCTGGCTCTCTGATCAAACCTGCTTTTCCACCAAACTTCACCCCTTATGTGTGGCTTTCAAGCAGCAAGCAGCTGAACCCGGGTCTGGTTACAAAGTCTCTGAAGCAGAAGATTTACCTAAAAAAAGTTAAAAATGTAATCTAAATTATATCATTGATATAATAAAATAAATTGTTCTTATTTTATAAATGCACTCAACAGGAAAATGCACAGACAATGAGATTGTCAAAGCTGATTTGAATGAGAATGAATTATATATTTATATAGATTGTGTTAAAAAATAACACTTTTTTTTTTACTCTTTGTAAATAAAATTTTATACGCATGGAAAATTTTATACAATTTTTTTATGTGAAATAGTTTAAAAAAAAAATCATAAAGGAAAATATACAAACAAATGGCACACACAATCTTCTAAACTGGAGAAAACTGCTAAGTTCCTTTCTAGGCCCCCTCCTCAGTCTTGCTCATAGCATTCCTGTGCTCCCTTGTGACCCTTCTGCCCTTTCCATTCAGTTACATTTGTCTCTCTGACCACCTAACCATCAGTAACACTCTGAGTATTACAGCTTAACACTGTACTACCCTCTAATATCTCTTACAACCTATAATTTTAAATTAATTTTTAAAGCCGTAAAGATGAAAAAAATAAAAGCCAGAATTACTAAATATCAAAATTTACATTTGTTAAGCAATGTCATTAAATATGAGAAAATAAATAAAGCATATGACTTTCAAAATTTGACTCCCTTTTTATTAAAGCACACACTTTATGAAGAAAATTTAATTTGAAGTAATTTATTTTTATTTTATAGGTAAAGCATATGATATAAAATGACATTTTTGTGATTTATATTTTCTGCCAATTTTATGCTCAATTCCTAGTATTTGTGACCAGTATGAACAAAATATACACTCTATTTGCCAACCTCCCAATACAGCAGAAATATCAGTTTATACCTGAGCATATCACTCAAGATATTTCTCTACACACTGTTCACGAATGCCCAATTTTAATGTTTTCTCTCAAATTGATTTTGTTCCACTGCCAACTCAATTTATCTCTGAATATATTTTCTCATGAAATTGGTCAAGATCTTCACGTGTATCCTGTTAATTTTAGTGTTCTTTATGTTCAATGCTAATATTTAGACACAGATTCCTCCATTTGTTTTGGCTTGCTTCTCATCTATACAATTGACTTGATGTTTCTTGATTCTGCAGTTAAGAACTATGCCCTCCCCCATCCAAACACATAGACATCTTACCCCATATCTATAGTTCCCAATTACTGTCCACAAAGTCAATGCATTGTGAGGTCCTAATTTCCACTTTCAGGCCCATTATGAGGAAGTAAAATATTTTACTTCAAACCAATAGTTTCAGGTACTACCTCTTGCTTCTTTGGCTGTAAATATTTTACATTTCCTTTTACTAGTAGTATTCCTGTAGAGGAAATGCAGAACTAACTCTACAGTAAATTTATTCTCCAGTAGACTATAACATCCCTTCAAAACCAATCTTTCTAAAATTTAAAGTTGATCTTATCTTCGTCGGAAACTTTAAAATGACTCCCTCTTCCATTTAACATATAGTTGAAGCTTCTTATAATAAAATAATGCCCTTTAGGAACTAGCTTCTGTTTATTTCTCTAAGCCCCGTTCAAACCCAATATACTGTAGCCATATTGTATTTCCTGTTCCAAATCAGAAAATTTTAGAGATGATCTATTAAAGAATACTTTAAAATATAGATAAACCACCTGAACCAGCACAGCAGCGGACACCTGTAGTGCCATCTACTTGGGAAGCTGAGGCAGGAAGATAGCTGGAACCCAGGAGTTCAAAGCTGTAATGCTGAGTCAAGCTTATGAACAGTGACTGCACTACAGTCTGGGCAATATAGGGAGACCCTGTTTCTTAAACACAAACAAATAAACAAACAAGCAAACACCTAATGCAGATATCCAAGTTTTTAAATTTATGTGAGAGATCCAGTCTTTATAATTATTTATTTATTTATTTGTTTATTTATTTATGAGACAGGTTCTCACTGTCACTCAGGCTGCCGTTCAGTGGCAGGATCTCAGCTCACTGTAGCCTCGACTTCCCCAGCTCAAGTCATCCTCCCGTCTCAGCCTCTCAAATAGCTGGAACCACAGGTGTGTGCCACCATGCCAAACTAATTTTTTTTTAATTTTTTTTTTTTTTGAGAGGGAGTCTTGCTCTGTTGCCCAGGCTGGAGTGCAGTGGCACAATCTGGGCTCACTGCAAGCTCTGCCTCTGGGGTTCACGCTGTCTTCCTGCCTCAGCCTCCTTAGTAGCTGGTATTACAGGCACCCACCACCACACCTGGATAATTTTTGTATTTTCAGTAGAGATGGGGTTTCACCATGTTAGCCAGGATGGTCTCAATCTCCTGACCTCGTGATCCGCCCGCCTCGGCTTCCCAAAGTGCTGGGATTACATGTGTGAGCCACCGCGCCTGGCCTGTTTTTTAAATTTTTTGTAGATGCTGGATTTCTTTATGTTTCCCAGGTTGGTCTCAAGCTCCTGGGCTCAAGCAATCCTCCCTCCTTAGCCTCCCAAAGAACTGGGATTACAGGCATGAGTCACTGTGCACTTATAACCTATATTGTTTAGCAGCAAATGACTTTTTATTGTCTATCATCATAATAAGGATCTTAAACACACTAAGTTGTGATTTGTGTAATTGGGCCAAAGGCAAACTCACACAACGCAAAATGCTAATCCAAGTGTTTACATGTCCCAAACACTTCAGCAGCCCCATCACCACAGGTTTTGCATGAAACTCTAATCCAGAGCCAAAAGATCACTTTCGCAGAGATGGACAATAGTCACAAAGTGACATGTTTCATCTACTAAATGGTGTCCTCATTTTTGTTCTAACTAACCACTGCTGTTATAGTCATCAAATGCATGTTCTATATCCTCTAGTTTTCCAAGCATCCATGTTTTCACTGTAATCTTCAACGTATTCGTCAGTTCTAGATATTGCATACCCAAACTCTCGAACTTGATAATAAACTGTCTTCTTCTTAACAACTGCATATTAATGCCCAGTTTTCATCCACTTAGAAAACCACCAGTGGATGGCTATTAAATAATGCATTTTTCTAGAATACTTCACTTTGTATAAGCTAAGACTTCCACTTCCTCTACCACCCTTAAAGCTGAGTATCCAATAAATTCAGCAGATCACTATTTCCTGGAGGAGTTGTAGTATTTCCAAATGATCCACAGGAATTTTTGTTGAGAAATTTGTTATATAATATATTAATCATCATAATTCAAAACTTACTTTGTTTTCAATTAATTAATTAATTTATTTATTTATTTATTGAGATGGAGCTTCACTGTTGTTGCCCAGGCTGGAGTGCAATGGCATAGTCTCGGCTCACTGCAACCTCCGCCTCCCAGGTTCCAGCAATTCTCTTGCCTCAGCCTCCCAAATAGCTGGGATTACAGGAGCCTGCTACCACATTTGTATTTTTAGTAATTTTTGTATTTGTAGTAGAGATGAGGTTTCACCATGATGGGCAGCCTGGTCTCGAACTCCTGACCTCAGGTGATCCACCCACCTTGGCCTCCGAAAGTGCTGGGATTATAGGCATGAGCCACCGCACCCAGCCGAAACTTGCTTTAAATTGATAATTGATGTGCAAAACAAGAGTTAGGTACTTGGGAATCTTAATTCTCATTTTTATGTGATTAAGAGTGCTTAAAAACTTAAGTTATATGTCAATCAATAGAATCAGTAAGCAGTGGCGTGTTTAACTGCGCTACATTGCAGCAGTACAGGTGTGTTTAACTGTGCTGCATTGCAGCTCATATGTCTTTGAGCATCTCTCCAGGAAAATGTCATCTAAAACTTGCTTAAATCAATGGATGTAATCCATATTGTTATAGTGTTTAAATTTACCTCACTTAGATTTTAGTATATCTTGTCCTTCTCTCATTAACCTTTCCCTTCCTATGAATCTTCTCCCCAAACTCTACTCACATTGAGTCTTCCCAATTAGGATTTTAATGCCATGCTTTATAAAACTCTATAGACAGTGCAGCTTATCTATACAACTGTCTGTAGCTTTTTTTCTGAAACTCTCATAACTAAAACATTTGTGGTCGCGTTGGAACTCATGTAGGACTGCTAAATATAGGGATATTTAAGTACATCATACCAGCAACTGAATTTGAAGCTAATGCTCCAAACTGTGAGATTCATTGGAGGATAAATGTCTACCACTGTTTAGGAGGGTCAAAATTGTGATATATATGAGAATTTCATAACATAAACCATGTTTTCAAAAATATATAATGTATGGAAAAAGTATAAGCTAAATATACAGTTTTTTTAAATGACATTATGGTCAAGGTAAACCATTTAATGGTCTAAATTGTTAGTGCATTTAATTTTAATTAATTTGAAATGTCTAATTGTATTTGGATCTTGCTTGTTATTAAAATAACTTTAAAATGTGATTTTTAACTGAGAGGTAAATTACCGATGGTATTAATCATACTGTTCTGCTTCACAAAAGAGTCTTAGATAGAATCCTTTTTTGTTACAAGTAAAGAAAATTCAGTTCAATGGCTTAAGCAAAAATATAACTTATTGCCTGACATAAAATATGAAGCAGTAATCCTGGTTTCAGACATGGTGAAGCAGGGCCCAATCAATGTCACCAGATGCATTTCTTGACTTTCTTTCCATTAGATTGCCTCCACTCTTAAGCTCTGCATGGTGGCCCCTGCTACTTGCAGCTAATCAATAAGAGAAAAAACATTCTCAAAACTTAGTCTCCTTTACCCTTCTTAATCTCTCTTAGATTATCTCCAGTTTCTGTGACAATGATAGAGTAAATTGACTGGCCTGGTACACTTGCTACATCTCTGAGCTTTAGTGGAACCAAGTTTCTAAAAAACACATGGGCTATTGGTACTGTTGCAATAAGAGAGGAAATAGATATTGCAATGAATAAAACATCAGTAACTAAGTAAGACAAAACCAACACAAAACCACCAAACAAAAGCCTTTAAGTGTCTGCTATACAGTATTTACCATAGAACTGCATTCCAACTTTCTTTTATTATTTTTCTTTTTTATATATTTTTTGTAGAGATGGTGCTTTGAGTTTTTTCATAGTGATTTCTACGACTTGCAATGTTTCTTGTATGTTTTCGGAAGTGATTTTCTACCTTCTTAATAAAAACGTTGATTACCAACACAAGTAAAATTACTAATAAGTTTATACATTTTGTTTTTCTTAAATGACTTAGGACAGTTTCCCTTTATATTTTATATTATTTAGCAAACAAAGAATCATCATACTAGAGATGCCACAAAAGAAAATATAAATGTACAGGAATTTTTACAACATGAAGATAACAAGCAAGAAAACTAATCAGCTTCTTTTTTTTAAAGGTACAATTAACCATAACAATCTTTTTTGATAGAGGTAACATTTCTTTTTATAAATTCTTGCCTTGAACCTTGGATAAGAAAAAAGTTTGCCTAATCAGGGATGAGATATACTTTCCAAATTATTTTCGTTGTTTTGCCTCTTGATGTAGCATCACTGAGAAGAACCATTTACTCCAGTGGGAATGCAACATGACAATATTATTCTCATCCCTGCTTTTGAGGTGAAATAACATTAGCTTAACCAAATCTTCACTCTGAATAGCTTTTGATGAGAGAACAACTGAATACTCTGCACTGATAGCATTAGCTCTCTATTGGTCCTCATACACAGCGTGATTCCATTGTCTAAATGTCTTTGTTTTGGGTTCTTTATCTTTGCTTGTAGATGCTTTGTGAACAGTTCTGCTATTTCTGTACTACTAATTTCACTTCCTTTTGCTTTCCTTTTCCAGCCCTTGGAACAATTCATCTAACTCTTTCTCAAATAAGTTGATAGTTTAAATGTATATATTTGCTGAAACAATATGGCTTCTTTCAGTTTTACAAAAGCACTAATCATGTGTGGAAATAGAGAATGATTATTTGACCAAAGATAATAAGTGTGTTTTATTAGAATCTTGAAGAGCTGTTTGGTTACCATTTCATTTAATGTTATCAATGTAAAGAAGGTAAATGTTCCTGAAAAGCAACACTTCCAACATAAGAGCAAGAAGGCTCTTGACTGTACTTGAAAGAAAAATTCAATCCAGTATCAACCTCAACATTTTGGCTATGTCAAATGATCTACAAATATGATGATTATAAATTGTCATTGTTAAAAATACTGAATTGAAACTTGAATGGTATCAAAAAGGGAAAAATTATATCACCCTACTAATACTTGATAAGAATGTAATAAAGAATCATAAGTCTTCTGAAATGTAAAGGTAATTATTTCACATTTGCTCATTTCAATGATAAAAATGGTGAGTTATAAAGAAAATAAATCAACTTAGCTTAATTCATTTGTTATTCCTCCGTTTGAGTTCTACATTTCCCCACTAAACCTACTCCATTTTGAGACAGTATAGCTAATTCTACACAGAATTTAAGTGTTAGGTCACACCAAGAAGGCATAGAAATAATTGGTCCTGGGAGACAGGAAACACAATAAAAAGTTTTCAAGGTAATAGAATCAGGCATTTGTACCAATAAACTACATTTTATAGGAAAGATGTGTGGTATGAACACTGAGGCAAACCTAGAGATCAGAGTAGCTTGGCAAAGGAGAGAGAGGCAACAAGGCAAAGCAGAAGCTTAGAAGCGAAGTGTGAAATTGTTTGTTCAAAGAAAAGGCAGAAAACAAGCTACAAGCTGTATCTCAAAATGACTCTAGGAATAACGACCTCAGGAATTAAGGTGCTCTCATGTTGAATAGTGCAATCCTTTGTACTATATTTTTTGTAGTCAATTCTGTTCAATATTAATCATGTGATTATGCATGATTGCCTTGAATTGCCACTTAACTTGTAGAATTTTCCAGGACAGAAAGAACAAGTTCCATTCTTTCGGAATAATCATAACATCTACACTAATGCTGTGCCTGCAATGCTGTGTTCTATACATATATAGGTATATATGTATATACATGTATATACACACATATACCTATATATACACATACATATATACATATATACCTATATATATACACACACATATATACCTATATATGTGTATATATATATGTGTGTGTGTATATGTGTGTGTGTATATATATATAGGTATATACATATTATACATTAGATACATATTATAAATATCTACACACAAACATATATACAAATATTTATGTTTATATACACAAATATATAATTAATAGTTTTTGCTTTTTTTCCCATTGTAAAACCTGTAGGCTCAAAGTTAACAATTTAGAAAAATACATAAACAATATAAACAGTCCCACTATCCCTAGATATCTGCTTTAAGATGGACTTTGGTGTTGTTGGTTTGCATGCACACAGACAGAAAGACACAGATAGATTTATGGATACACATAATTTGGATGCACATAGCTAGTTGCAAATTTTCTATTCTGAATAATGTTCACAATAGAATTAATCATTCCTAAAAGGATATTAGAGAGAGGTATATGAAGGGGCAAAAGAAAATACAAATATTGGTGGACTTTGAGTCTCACAGAGAACTGTGCCTAAAGACGCACTTTTTTTTGTCCCCATAAATCCCGTCCACATCGCATTCTGACCACATTGTTATTTACTATATGTTGTGATCTTATTCTGGTGTCAAATATGGGAGTTCTATACTAATTTTAATAGCTACGCAGCATTTCTTTGTGTATAAAAAGATGTTCCATTGTATAGCTCTACCATAATTGCTAGAAAAATCCCCTTTGGATGGATATTTAGGTTATTTCCCACTTTACACTATTATAAGATTTTGATAAGCATTCTTATATCTTTAATAATGGCCCTTTTCAACATAAAATAAATATCTAAAAGATGAATTATGTGGACATATATTATTCTTATCAAATTTTGATTGATATTGTGAAACTGACCTCACAAAAATTATATCAATTTATACTCCTACTACTAATATGTCTGATAGCACATTTCTTTTTAGCTTTTTAAAATTATTTTACTTTAAGTTCTGGGATACATGTGCAGAATATGCAGGTTTGTTACATAGGTATACATATTCCTTGGTGGTTTGCTACACCTATTAACCCGTCAATCAGGTTTTAAGCTCCACATGCATTAGGCATTTGCCCTAATGCTCTCCCTCCCCTAGCTGCTCCCCCAACCCCTGACAGGTCCCAGTGTGTGATGTTCTTCTCCCTGTGTCCATGTGTTCTCATAGTTCCACTCCCACTTATAAGTGAGAACATGTGGTGTTTGGTTTTCTGTTCCTGTGTTAGTTTGATGAGGATGATGGCTTCCAGCATCATCCATGTCCCTGCAAAGGATATAATGTCATTCTCTTTATGGCCACATTTTATTTATCGAGTCTATCATTGATGGGCATTTGGGTTGGTTCCATGTCTTTGCTTTTGTAAATAGTGCTGCAATAAACATACGTGTGCATACGTCTTTATAGTAGAATGATTTATATTACTTTCGGTATATACCCAGTAATGGGATTGCTGGGTCAAATGGTATTTCTTGTTCTAGATCCTTGAGGAATCGCCACACTGTCTTCCAAAATGGTTGGACTAATTTACATTCCCACCAACATTGTAAAACTGTTTCTATTTCTCCACAGCCTCACCAGTATCTGTTGTTTCCTGATTTTTTAATAATTGCCATTCTGACTACCATGAGATAGTATCTCATTGTGGTTTTAATTCGCATTTCTCTAATGATCAGTAATGTTGAGCTTTTTTTCATATGTTTGTTGGCAGCATAAATGTATTCTTTTCAGAAGTATCTGTCGATATCCTTTGCCCATTTTTTAATGGGGTTGGTTGTTTTTTTCTTGTAAATTTATTTAAGTTCCTTGTAGATTCTGGATATTAGACCTTTGTTAGATGGGTAGATTGCCAAAATTTTCTCCCATTCTCTAAGCTGCCTGTTCACTCTCTTTAGTTTAATTAGATCTCATTTGTCAATTTCAGCTTTAGTTGCAATTTCTTTTGGCATTTTCATCATGAAATCATTGCCCATGCCTATGTGCTGATTGGTATTACCTAGGTTTTCTTCTAGGGTTTTTACAGTTTGGGGTTTTACATTTAAGTCTTCAAGCCATATTGAGTTAATATTTGTACAAGGTGTAAGGAAGGGGTGTAGTTTCAGTTCTCTGCATATGGCTAGCCAGTTTTCCCAGCACCATTTATTAAATATAGAATGCTTTCCCCATTGCTAGTTTTTCTCAGATTTGTGGAAGATCAGATGGTTGTAGATGTGTGGTTGTTATTTCTGAGGTCTCTGATCTATATGTCTGTTTTGGTACCAGTACGATGCTGTTTTGGTTACTGTAGCCTTGTAGTATAGTTTGAAATCAGGTAAAATGATGTCTCCAGCTTCATTGTCTTTGCTTACTATTGTCTTTGCCATACGAGCTCTTTTTTAGTGCCTTATGAAATTTAAAGTAGTTTTTTTTCTAATTCTGTGAAGAAAGTCAATGGTAGTTTGATGGGAATAGCATTGAATCTATAAATTACTTTGGGCAGTATGGCCATTTTCACAATATTGATTTTTCCTATCCATGAGCATGGAATATTTTTCCATTTGTTTGTGTCCTCTCTTATTTCCTTGAGCAGTGGTTTGTAGTTCTCCCTGAAGAAGCCCTTCACATCCCCTGTAAGGTATATTCCTCGGTATTTTATCTTCTTTGTAGCAATTGTGAATGGGAGTTCACTCATTATTTGGCTCTCTGCTTGTCTATTTTTGGTGTAGAGGAATGCTTCTGATTTTTGCACATAGATTTTGTACCCTGAGACTTTGCTGAAGTTGCTTATCAGCTTAAGGAGTTTTTGGGCTGAGATGATGAGGTTTTCTAAATATCAAATCACATCATCTGCAAACAGAGACAATTTGACTTCCTCTATTTCTGTCTGAATACCCTTTATTTCTTTCTCTTGCTTGATTGCTTTGGCCAGAACTTCCAATACTATGTTGAATAGGAGTGGTAAGAGAGGGCTTCTTTGTCCTGTCCTGGTTTTCAAAGTAAATGCTTCCAGCTTCTGACCATTCAGTATGATACTGGCTATGGGCTTGTCATAAATAGCTTATAATTTTGAGATATGTTCCATCAATAACTAGTTTATTGAGATTTTTTAACATAGGGATGTTGAATTTTATCCAAGGCTTTTTCTGCATCTATTGAGATAATCATGGGGTTTTTATCTTTGGTTCAGTGTATGTGATGGATTATGTTTATTGTTTTGTGAATGTTGAACCAGCCTTGCATCCCAGGGATGAAGCCGACTTGATCACAGTGGATAGGTTTTCTGATGTGCTGCTGGATTCGATTTGCCAGTATTTTACTGAGGATTTTCGCGATATTGGCCTGAAGTTTTCTCTTATTATTGTGTCTCTGTCAGGTTTGGTATCAGGATGATGCTGGCCTCATAAAATGAATTAGGGAGGAGTCCCTCTTTTTCTATTGTCTGGAAAAGTTTCAGAAGGAATGCCACCAGCTCCTCATTGTACATCTGGTAGAATTCGGCTGTGAATCCAGCTGGTCTTGGGCTTTTTTTTTTTTTTTTTGGTTGGTAGGCTATTAATTACACCTCAAATTCAGAACTTGTTACTGGTCTATTCAGGGATTCGACTTCTTCCTCATTTAGTCTTCGGACAGTGTAATGTGTCCAGGAATTTATCCATTTCTTCTAGATTTTCTAGTTTACTTGCATAGAGGTGTTTATAGTGTTCTCTGATGGTAGTTTGTATTAATGTGGGATCAGTGGTGATATCACCTTTATCGTTTTTTATTTGATTCTTCTGTCTTGTTTTTTATTAGTCTAGTTAGCAGTCTATCTATTTTGTTATTATTATTATTATTTTTTCAAAAAACCATCTCCTGGATTCGTTGATTTTGTGTCTCTAGCTACTTCAGTTCTGGTCTGATCTTAGTTATCTCCTGTCTTCTGTTAGCTTTTCATTTTGTTTACTCTTGCTTCTCTAGTTCTTTTAATCATGCTATTAGGGTGTCAATTTTAGATCTTTCCAGCTTTCTGATGTGGGCATCCAGTGCTATGAATTACCCTCTTAACACTGCTTAGCTGTGTGCCAGAAATTCTGGTACATTGTCTACTTGTTCTCATTGGTTTCAAAGAACTTCTTGATTTCTGACATAATTTTATTATATACCCAGGAATCATTCAGGAGCAGGTTGTTCAATTTCCATGTAGTTGTGTGGTTTTGAGTGAGTTTCTTAATCCTGAGTTCTAATTTGATTGCACTGTGGTCTGAGAGGCTGTTATAATTTCAAGTTCTTTTGCATTTGATAGCACATTTTTTAACATTCTGGAAAGCAGCAAATATCCAATGTCTTTTTATGACTTTGTGTTTATTCTCATTCTGCTGCTACTGAGTTTCACATATTTTAAAAGGTGTGTTGTATCGTTTATCATTAGAGAAATCCATATCAAAACCACAATGAGATAACATCTCACATGGGTCCGAATGGCTATTACTAAGAAGCCAAAAAACAAGCTACAGATGCTGGCAAGGTTGTGGAGAAAAAAGGAACTCTTTTACGCATTGGAGGGAGTGTAAATTAGTTCAACCATTGTGGAAGACAGTGTGGTGTTCCTCAAAGACCTAGAGGCAAAAATACCATTGGACCCAGCAATCTCATTACTGGGTATATGCCCAAAGGAATATAAATCATTCTGCTATAAAGATATCTGCGTGTGTATGTTCATTGCAGCACTATTCACAACAGCAAAGACATGGAATAGACTTAAATGCCCATCAGTAATAGACCGGATAAAGAAAATGTGGAAAAAGTCCAGGACCAGATGGATTCACAGCCGAATTCTACCAGAGGTACAAGGAGGAGCTGGTACCATTCCTTCTGAAACTATACCAATCAATAGAAAAAGAGGGACTCCTCCCTAACTCATTTTATGAGGTCAGCATCATCCTAATACCAAAGCCTGGCAGAGACACAACAAAAAAAGAGAATTTTAGACCAATATCCCTGATGAACATCAATGCAAAAATCCTCAATAAAATACTGGCAAACCGAATCCAGCAGCACATCAAAAAGCTTATCCACCATGATCAAGTGGGCTTCATCCCTGGGATGCAAGACTTGTTCAACATACCCAAATCAATAAACGTAATCCAGCATATTAATAGAACCAAAGACAAAAACCACATGATTATTTCAATAGATGCAGAAAAGGCCTTTGACAAAATTTGACAGCTCTTCATGCTAAAAACTCTCAATAAATTAGGTATTGATGGGACGTATCTCAAAATAATAAGAGCTATTTATGACAAACCCACAGCCAATATCATACTGAATGGTCAAAAACTGGAAGCATTCCCTTTGAAAACTGTCATAAGACAGGGATGCCCTCTCTCACCACTCCTATTCAACATAGTGTTGGAAGTTCTGGCCAGGGCTATCAGACAGGAGAAAGAAATAAAGGGTATTCAATTAGAAAAGAGTAAGTCAAATTGTCCCTGTTTGCAGATGACATGATTGTATATTTAGAAAACCCTCTCATCTCAGCCCAAAATCTCCATAAGCTGATAAGCAACTACAGCAAACTCTCAGGATAGAAAATCAATGCGCAAAAATCACAAGCACTCTTATACACCAATAACAGACAGAGAGCCAAATCATGAGTGAACTCCCATTCACAATTGTTTCAAAGAGAATAAAATACCTAGGGATCCAACTTACAAGGGATGTGAAGGACCTCTTCAAGGAGAACTACAAACCACTGCTTAATGAAATAAAAGAGGACACAAATAAATGGAAGAACATTCCATGCTCATGGATAGGAAGAATCAATATCGTGAAAATGGCCATACTGCCCAAGGCAATTTATAGATTCAATGTCATCCCCATCAAGCTACCAATGACTTTCTTCACAAAATTGGAAAAAACTACTTGAAAGTTCATATGGAACCAAAAAAGAGCCTGCATTGCCAAGACAATCCTAAGCCAAAAGCACAAAGCTGGAGGCATCATGGTACTTGACTTTAAACTATACTACAAGGCTACAGTAACCAAAACAGCATGGTACTGGTACCAAAACAGAGATATAGACCAACGGAACAGAACAGAGCCCTCAGAAATAATACCACACATCTACAACCATCTGATCTTTGACAAACCTGACAAAACCAAGAAATGGGGAAAGGATTCCCTATTTAATAAATGGTGCTGGGAAAACTGGCTAGCCATATGTAGAAAGCTGAAACTGGATCCCTTCCTTACATACAAAAATTAATTCAAGATGGATTAAAGACTTACATGTTAGACCTAAAACCATAAAAACCCTAGAAGAAAACCTAGGCAATACCATTCAGGACATAGGCATGGGCAAGGACTTCATGTCTAAAACACGAAAAGCAATGACAACAAAAGCCAAAATTGACAAATGGGATCTAATTAAACTAAAGAGCTTCTGCACAGCAAAGGAAACTACCATCAGAGTGAAGAGGCAACCTACAGAATGGGAAAAAATTTTTGCAATCTACTCATGTGACAAAGGGCTAATATCCAGAATCTACAAAGAACTCAAATTTACAAGAAAAAGACAACCCCATCAATAAGTGGGCGAAGGATATGAACAGACGCTTCTCAAAAGAAGACATTTATGCATCCAACAGACACATGAAAAAATGCTCATCATCACTGGTCATCAGAGAAATGCAAATCAAAACCACAATGAGATACCATCTCACACCAGTTACAATGGCGATCATTAAAAAGTCAGGAAACAACAGGTGCTGGAGAGGATGTGGAGAAATGGGAACACTTACACTGTTGGTGGGACTGTAAAATAGTTCAACCATTGTGGAAGACAGTGTGGCAATTCCTCAGGGATCTAGAACTAGAAATACCATTTGACCCAGCCATCCCATTACTGGGTATATACCCAAAGGATTATAAATTGTGCTGCTATAAAGACACATGCACATGTATCTTTATTGCGGCACTATTCACAATAGCAAAGACTTGGAACCAACCCAAATGTCCAACAATGATAGACTGGATTAAGAAAATGTGGCACATATACACCATGGAATACTACGCAGCCATAAAAAAGGGTGAGTTCATGTCCTTTGTAGGGACATGGATGAAGCTGGAAACCATCATTCTCAGCAAACTATCCCAAGGACAAAAATCCAAACACCACATATTCTCACTTATAGGTGGGAACTGAACAATGAAAACACTTGGACACACGAAGGGGAACATCACACACCAGGGCCTGTAGTGGGGTAGGGGAAGTGGGGAGGGATAGCTTTAGGAGATATACCTAATGTAAATGATGAGTTAATAGATGCAGCACACCAACATGGCACATGTACACATATATAACAGACCTGCAAGTTGTGCACATGTACCCTAGAACTTAAAGTATTATTAAAAAAAAAAGAAAATGTGGTATAAATACACCATGGAATACTATGCAACCATAAAAAGGAATGAGATCACATCCTTTGCAGGGACATGGATGAAGCTGGAAGCCGATTATCCTCAGCAAAGTAACACAGGACTAGGAAATCAAATACTGCATGTTCTCAATTTTAAGTGGGAGCTGAATGATGAGAACACGTGGACACATGGGGTGGAACAACACACCCTGTGGCCTGTCGGAGGCTGAGGGCAGAAGGAGGGAGAGCATCAGGAAGAATAGCTAATGGATGCAGGGCTTAGTACCTAGGTGATGGGATGATCTGTGCAGCAAACTACCGTGGCACACGCTTACCTATATAATAAACCAGTACATTCTGCACATGTACACTGGAACTTAAAATAAAAGTTTAAAAAATGTGTGTTGGACATTTCTATATTTTTGTCTTCCATTTTTCCTCTGGTGCTTTCTGTTTCATATTGATTTTTCAAGAGAAATTTGTATATTAGAAAATTAAGTAAAAATATATAATGTTCTTTTAAATATTTTTTATATTGTACTTTATAGAAATGTATTAATTGCTATTTTACATAATCCCAGAAGTCCTTTGTGATGACTGACTTTTGTATTATGCTTAAAAATACCTACAAACACTAGAAATTCATTGCAAATATATATATTAAAAATACTTTCTAGTGAATGACCAATCATAAACTCAAAATCATTTCAAATATTCTAAGGAGGAAATCAGAAATGGTGGCAGTATTCAAGAATACAGCTGGCCCAGCCCCAGCAGCACCTCAGGGATTATTTGAAATAATGACAGCTATCTCTTTGAAGGAAAATCTATTCCTTGCTGTGTTCTATAGGGCCAAATCACTGGCTCAATGGGGCTCACTATTCGTAGAGTCTTCCCTCAATACTGAAGCACGTTTTTCATTGTGCTTCTGTGGCTGTTCAAACTCAGCTCCTCTATGGAGCAACACAAAATGGACTCAATCTGCTCAGTGGGAAGAACTCGAGGAAGTCACAGATCTCTGTTATATTTAATAAACTTTGTTATATTTTCTGAATCTTAAGATTTTGCCAATGCTTTAGCAGTTTTGTCTACAACTTGGAAAACTATAGACTGGAGATTAAATTATTTGGGATCGTGAACTATGAAAATAATCTGTGCCTGTTTGAACTACCTGGCTCACTTGTATATATGCTCATGATAAAGGCATCATTGTATGATAAGGCCAAATGGAATCAAGCTGCTGTTTGATTCTCTTAGATGCCATATTACTATCTTTGCTGCCTAGATTAATTATAACACTGTAGATGGTGACATATGTACTATAATAGACTCCACACAAAATAAATGATACTATCTTTTAGGCAAAGACAAGCATTGCATGCCAGCTTGTGATTTCTGAGACAAGTTGACCAATTATCTTGCAGTGAGGGAGGCATTGTCTTTGCTCTCTTTGCCTGATCCTGGCCAACTAACAATATCAAATTCTTGATCCCTTTTAACCTCCTCCTTCACTACATATATTAAAAAGGGATTTTTGTCATTGAGTGTGAGTGTCTTAAAAAAGATCATCCACTCTTGGAAATTTAGGATTTCATCTTCACTATTCCTGGTCATGATACTTTACTCTTTCCTCTAATAGCAATTCCTGGCTATTCTGATTGCTACATACTCCAATGGCCAAAATAAATCCTCAGGGATTCGAATTTAATATAGGTTTATTCACCTGGGTCCTCTTGCTGAATTAACATAGTTCTAGATCTATGGCACAGTGATCACTTTTTCTAAGTATGTTGCTTTCAGTCTTCCTATATGGCCTAGGTGGGCCAAAAGCAGTGTGATAATATGTATGATAATAATTGTGGGATAAACATATAATAAAATTATAGCTAGTGGAATAGTAAGCATGAAATTTTGGAATTGGAAACAGCAAAAATGCTGCTAGCTTAGACTCTGGGAGGTATGGAGAAGTGGGAGGCATTAATGATCTTTGTCTTTTAGGACCATCCTTAGAGGGTTCTTCCCAAAGGAAAATCCACTGTTGCTGTTCTCACAAATTGCTGAGAACACCTTAAATTTAACTGGCTCTTGAATTTGCCACCCTTGACTAATCAAAATTTGACTGACATTCCCTTTAACCTTACCAAGAAGTCTACCAGACTCCAACTCTTCCAAGGCAAAAAACCTGTCAATAATTCTGGATGTCTTCTTTACCCACATTCTCATATTTGTTGTTTCATCACTCCATGGTATTAAAAAGTATCTCCTAGTTTGTGATGTGTACAAACTGGCCAAACAGTAATGAATACCCTTGAGTAATACCTCCAAAAAAAGAGAAATTGACTAAAGTATTTGAATTGAACTAGGATTCTTAAGATCCACCAGTTGTATGAAAAGCTATGTAGAAGTGTTGTTCATCTGTGTCTCCAAGTGATGTAGGTTGCTTTTAGTGATCTCCAATAATTGCATACAACATTTCCCTTCCAGAGCAGCACATGTACTCTTGGGCCTCTATTTTTTGTGTGAGTTATCAGTCATTAATTTGATTCCCTCCTGAGCATTCAGTAACTCAGATATTAGTAGCAGTCATTAAAAAAATTAAAATATTTAAGAAAATATTCAAGTAGATCATGTAGCCTTCTGATAATACCTCTCCAAAGAGGTTACCATTGATTAACCAGGAGAGCTTCCCAAGGGAATAACTGACTCACTATTCATCCACTCCAGGTGGATAGTTGTCCCTCTAATGGTGGGGGTTAGGGGAATGGGTTATCTAATTAAAAATCGTCATAAAAAATGTATCCCTAAGTTTAGCTGAAATGGCTAATGATACTGCCTAGCCCTAGAAGGCATTCAGGTCAACCTAACTCATTGGTCAGAGTTGTTATGTGTAATAGCATTACCCTAGATTATCCTGTTATACCTGGATTAATGCCTCAGGCCTAGTGAAAAGGTAAGTACAGAAAGTTGAGGAAAGTCATTGGCTTTCTAAGATAGACCCTACTGGTTTATGAGACTTATTTTTTTAGCTGGTTAGGTCTTAAAAGCTGGGAGCATGGTTGAGTTCAATACTACAGGCCTCATTCTATTTCCTGGAGTTCTACTGTTAGTAGCTTTAGTTAAATATGGCATGAGACAAAATGAATGGATTTAGTCCCAGGACTTTTCCATCAAACTAATAAGAATGGTGCTTAGATTGGTATAGTACTGGGGGAAATTTGGCAAAATTATATAGGCATGAGGGGTGAATATTTTTGTGAGGCAATCATCTATGAGTCTTTTCTATTTCTATACTTCTTGCAAGCAGACGCACCACTGCCTCTCTTCTAGACTGTCTTGCCAAAGATCTTTGTTTAGTGAAAAGCCTTGCGAGATTGAGAGACTGTCTCCCTCTGGAGCAGAGGATAGGATTGTCTACTGTTGAATCAAATAAAGAGAATGTCTGTTTCTGGAGCAAAGGCTAGGTATGTTTTCTTACATTTCATGATAAAATATTCAGGTTCCCAAAGCTTGGGATTCCTCTTCTGCAACCCAGCATCCTCTTCACACTTCCTCGTAGGAAGTGGAGCTCAGAGAAATGGTGTAATATAAGATACCCTATTGGTATTTCTGTGAATAGTAAACTGCTTTTTGTTTCTGAAGACTTTATCTTTTGTTCAGAAGTCTCATGACTTTTTCCAGCATCCCTGAAACTATTACATGCTAACTTAATAGCTTATGAGTAGGATGACACTTTAGTCTTACAGGTCTTGATTCTGGTATAAAAATGAAATCAGAATAGAAGCTCTGTAGGGCTGGTATTCACATCACTGAGGAGAGAATACAGATAAGCTAGTGATAATGTTTGTATGTGGAGTGTGAGGGGACTTATTTGGGCATTGTTTGAGGAAAAGACTGCATAATGGATTAAAATACAATTTTTGGACAAAATTGCAAATACATAAGTGAAGAAACAATGCTGTGGTGAAGCTGAATAAGAAGAAAAATGGAAACATAAAACAAAAAGTACTGTGCCTCCCTCCATATACACCATGGAATAGTATGCAGCCATAAAAATGAGTTTGGCTGGGCAAGGTGGCTCACGCCTGTAATCCCAGCACTTGGGGAGGCCGAGGAGGGTGGATCACGAGGTTAGGAGATTGAGACCATCCTGGCTAACATGGTGAAACCCCGTCTCTACTAAAAATACAAAAAATTAGCCAGGCGTGGTGGCGGTGCCTGTAGTCCCAGCTACTCGGGAGGCTGAGGCAGGAGAATGGCGTGAACCCAGGAGGCATAGCTTGCAGTGAGCAGAGATCATCACGCCACTGCACTCCAGCCTGGGCAACAGAGTGAGACTCCATCTCAAAAAAAAAAAAAAAATGAGTTCATGCCTTTTTCAAGGACATGGATAAAGCTGGACACCATCATTCTCAGCAAACTAACACAGGAATGGAAAACCAAACACTGCATATTCTCATTGATAAGCAGGAGTTGAATAATGAGAACATATGAACACGGGGATGGGAATATCACACACTGGGGCCTGTCAGGGGTTTGTTGGGGCCTGTTGGGACAAGGGGAGGGATAGCATTAGGAGAAATACCTGATGTAGATGATAGGTTGAGGGGTGCAGCAAACCACCATGGCACATGTATACCTATGTAACTAACCTGTATGCTATGCACATGTATCCCAGAACTTAAAGTATAATAATAATAATAATAATAAAATTATTGTGCTTTTTTCTCCTCTAAACATCTTGTCTTCCTCTGCTGCCCACTATTGTCAGAGCCTTACAGGGAACAAGTTGCCAAAGTAGAAATGCGGTTTTCAGCATCTCTGCCCTGGCATCACAAAATGAAGTGTAGAACAGTAGTTTGGAACTAACTGAAAATACCTTAGCAATTGGTATGGTCTGTCTTTTTGACTAGTCAGCCCTCTTTGTACAAATGCTTATATTTGAACTTGTAAACAAAAATAAAACAACTCCATGCTTTCTCCCAGGATATAGTATCCTTTGTATGAATAAATATGCTTTTATACCATCCCAAATGAGGAAACACAATGTCTCTCTATGAGGTTCTAAGCTGAAGCAGTAAATCAGTACAACTTACTAATTTCCTAGTGTTTTCATTCCCACAGTGAGATCAAACAACTTTACTAAATGCTTTTCAATGAGGCCACTAAGACCATGAAATTTGAAGGACATTTACTGCATTTCTAGTAGTACTCCCCTCAGAACACTGGCAATTCTAAATACAGTAATTTGGGCAGGAGTTTTGCTGAGATGAACTACTTTTTATTCTGCACTTCAGAGGAGTCACTGCAAGGTGCCTACCTCCAAGTTGTGGGAAGGGGGCTTAAATCTGTCCCTGGCTTTGGAACTTCATCAAACTACGTAATACTCAAGGGCTGGTGTAGGATTGGCCCAATATTACTTTCTGCTAGATACTAAGGCATTCCCTATTTCTTCCATTAGAGAATGGACCAAATTTACCTTTATAAACTCGATACAGCTTATGCCCTGATGAATAAGCTCATTAACTAAATATTTTAGAGTAGCTGCATCTACCTGCAATTAGCCTATTCTTAGAATTCTATTTTGTGGCTGTCTAGAATACTCATATCTTATCCTTTGCCTCTTCCTGCACCAGCAGATGCCTCTCAGAGAAATAAATCCTATTACTGATGGGCCTTAGCTATAAGTGCCCACACTCTAAATTTTCTAACACATGTAAAAACAGGTCTTCTTGCTTCCAAGACACACAATTCTATGTCTACCAATTCTCAGAGATTTGGATTAGGCGTACACATCCTGTAACCAGTGAGTCTCACAACTATCTAGGTCTTTCCGCAATCCACACTTCATTTTATACAATTCACCCAAAAGAAAATTGGTTAAATTTGACCAAAAGATATATTCTGGGTTAAAATATTGGCAGACATGAAGGTTCTCTCTTGATTAAAATTTATTTAAGTTACTGCAAAGTCAGCAGTTAAGTGGATAATATAAAAGCATGAACACAGAGGAAGGGGTTCTCCATTTGTTTGGTTGTTCAGCAAAGAGCCTGAGAAACTCAGTGATTACACCAGCTCAGAAAAAAAAAAGGAGGAATCTACCAGTTATATCAGAGAAAACTTGAGGTATATGAACACTCAAGGGTGTGCTTTATTACAAAAAAAAAGGAATTTTTACTTTTTTAATGTTAGGTTTTTCCACATTAATTAAATAAATTAATGATTAATTTCATACTAAATCATTGCATCTACTGAAATATTCAGAGTGACAAGACTTCCTTAACTGCTACCCAGAAAATTAAGTTTCCCAAGAAAATATTTTTCAGTAAGAACTACTTATTTTGATTTATTCTGCATTTAATTGGAAATCTGATACAAAATTTGTTGATGACATTGATTTGAACACTGGATAGACAGTAATAGAGAAACTGTCCTGGTTCGATGAAACTGCTTTCATTTTTATTTCCATGCTGTTTTTTATAATCCTACTAAGAATTTGTAAGGAATTGAGTTTCTTGGCAGTTGCTGGCTGGATAAAATTTCTATCTATTTCTATTTATTTGAGTGCTTTCACTGTGTTCGACAATATCATACCAATTGAAAGAGTGCTGTTACGGTGTTTGACAATATCATATCAATTGAAATGACATTGTTATTCCCCACACAATATCTTCTGCATAAGTCTGCCAAAGTGTAAGAACCTAAAAATCACCAGAAGCCCTTTAGCTTTAGTTTTGGCAGGAAGTTACTATACACACACATAAACACACACACACACACACACATCACACACTATTTTGTAGTGTTTTTAGGCTTTTTGGGCATTGGAAACAATTAATTTTTTAAAATGCACAGCCTCTATCAGGAATAAACATGTAAAAACATATATGAATACCATTTCAAGGGTTTTATAAAAATATCTATTACAAAGTGACAATTCATTTCTATGAAATGCTTGCATACTAACACTGGAATTTCAGTGAAACATATTGTTCATAATCAAGCTTTACTAATAGGGCATACATATTCTTATAAAATATTTAATAAATTATTTAGAAGGTGTACATTTACTTCACTTTGCACAAAATTATGGATCTTAACCATTTTTATTTTTTCTGTTTTTAACTATTACTGAACAATGGTTCTGTTTGCACCCTTATTTTTAAGGCATCTGATTATTGGGTCAATTATCTTTTTTTTCTTTCAGGAAATGTAAATTTATTTATTTTTTCTTTCCACTTTTATTTTAGGTTCAGGGGATACATGTGCAGGTATGTCATATGGGTAAACTGCATGCTGCTGGGGCTTGTTGTACAAATGATTTCTTTACCCGGGCACAGAACATAATACCCAATATATAGTTTTTCAGTCCTCACTCTCCTCCCTCCTGGGTCAATTATCTTAATTGTTGTGCACAATTCTTACTGGATCAGTAATTAATTTACAAGCAACAAGCTCATCCATTGAAAGTTTAACATAAAAAGAAAATCCTCCTTTATACAACATTTAAATATATAAAATTTAGAAATAAAGATGTCAAATAACTGGGCTAATTTCATCACTCTGATATATTAATGTCTGTTTTCCTAATGGAATGTAATTTAAAAAAATTAATTGACTTCTAACCTGAAATAGTTAAGCATTCTTGTTTCTAAATCTCTTTCTCTGTGAACAGGTTAACAAAAGACACTTTATAAGTGTCTATAAATTTATAACTGGTGACTTCGATTTATATATAAAATTAGTCTATGTTTTTTTTTATTTTTTAAATGTACATTTTGGAGGACATGTTGTCACAAAAAACCTTCTGTGTACGTGCATGTTTGGTTGTGTGATTATACCTACAACTTTCATTTCATAAATCTCCTAATATATATAGTTTGGAAATAATTAAATAAGTCTATATTTCAAGAAATTTAAAATATAGTATTTTGTTGTTGTTGTTTATGCTTGTGCTGAAATATATCAATATCATTTTTCTGGGGCCTGTTCACTGTGTGTTATTTTGATGCCATTACCCATTAAACTCATGAAACTTTACTCTTTAGATAAAACTCATTGGCTTTTTGACTAGAGATACGTAGTGTCTAAGGGGAACTTTGATCATGGCAGAAATTTATAGGATGATTTTAAGAAGATGCTTTTTAACGTTTCAAACACTTTATTATAGTAACATTTAGAAAACCCAAAGAATATAGTTAATGAATTATTTTATTTATAAAACTCATACAATAAAAACTACTTTAATATTCAAAAGTCATATATGTAAATATTATCCCAAGAAATAGGACAAAGCTACTTTCTTCAGTCGCTTGTTATAGAAGAAAATACTCAATGATCACTACTTCATAACATAGTGATAATGTTAAAAGAAAACAAGAAGCCAAAACTTAAACCTAAAAGAATAAAACATAAACAATTTTTCCAATATTATAGTCAACAAGTATGTCAAAGGTGTTATTTGAAAGCACAGTAAAATGTAGTATTGAGCATGAAGGAAATTTTTTTAAAATTAGCCAATTTCTTAGAGCAGAATGAATGGAAAGACAGAGCCACATGGACATTTATTGACAAAAAAGGGTTATAGCGAAATAGACAATTTTTCAGGTTTACATATGAAGATTCTCTCCTTTAAATGATACATATTGTTTCACACTATAGTCTATAATTTATTCACTATTCTCTTATTATTAGACATGTAGGTCATTTCTATAACTACTATAAAACAATGCCACAATGGCTAATGCCATTACTGTGCCTCTACTTATGGGTTCAAATATCACAAACCCATTGGAGAGTATATCCCTCCAAATAATTTAGATAAAACTAAATTGCCCTCCAAAGAATAGTATAGATTTTTCTACATCTTCAAGGAGTTTGTGAAAATATTATTTCCTCTATAACTTGCCTAACATTGACTGTTCCAATTTTTTAGCTGTTTGCCAAATAAATAGGCTACTTTCTCATTTTTATTATCATTTGCAGTTCCTTGATGCAGGTTAATTTGAACATTTTTATCACCAGTTTGTCTGCATATCTAATCCAAATTTCCCACACTGAAATTATATATTAACTTATTTGTTTTTAGTATTAAATTTGTTTTCTTGTATGTTCTCATTCAGCAAACATTTAATAAGTATCTGCAAAAGACCTAGTACTACTCCAGTTATTGGATGCTATAGATTTCTGGTGATATTCTTCATCAAGCTCAGTCATCATCTAACTCAAAACGAAGCTTGATAGCAATGTATTTAAAAAGAATACAGAATTTTAGTGGTTAATGCAATATGTAGAGATGGTTACATGGTTTTCCTTTTTTAAATGTAAGTTATAAAGTTAACATGTTGCTTATATTCTTAATAAAATAAATCCTGATTTGTTTTAGGGTATTTTTAGGGGATTAAATTTTCCTAAATCTTTCTTTAAAAATTTTATGATTATGTGCATAGGGAGGACTGGTTTATATTTTGTTTTTTATGCCTTTCTTCCTTTGTTATGGCATCAGAATTATTCTATATTTTTATAATGAATTGGATAATTGTGAATCATTTCAATATTTTACAAATATCTGTATGAAATGAAAATTATTTATTATTTGTACACTTGTGTAGAACACACCCAAAGAAATATCTGGTTTGGCAAGACAAATAGCACAGGATCTCATTTGTACATAGAATCTAAAAAAGTTGATCCCACAGAAATAAAGAGCAAAATGGTGGTTACTAGAATCTGGGAAAAGCAGGGGGAAAGGAGGATGGTCAATAGGTACAAAGAGATTTGGTCAATAGGTACAAAGTTATAGACTGATAAGAGGAATAAGTTCTAGTTTTCTGTTGCACAGTAGAGTGATGATAGTTAAAAATTACATGTTATATTTCAAAATAGCTACAAGAGATTTTAAATGTTTTCACCATAAAGAAATGATAAATGCTTGACGTGATGGGTATGCTAATTGCCCTAATTTGGTTATGACACATTGTATATATGCATTGAAGCATCACACTGGACCTGATAAACATGTATGATTGCTATGTGTCAAAAAATACAATAAAACTTTAAAAATAAAGTTTAAGAGAAGAAAGAAATTTTAATAAAATTTAATCTATACTGAAAAAAAGAAGTAGTGCCACATGCAGGCTAAGCCTCAAGGTAGATGTAATAATAACAGGCTATTTCAAGACTGGAAATTACTTGGCAAGCATAGTGCCTTTTACCTACCCATTGACTGTAGCAGTCCAGGTTAGTAGACTATAGAAAATTTTCCTTTTATCTGGATTCAAACTTTTTTGTCATTTTAATACTTCAGGCAGGTATTACCAATCTGCCAAATTTGGCATCCATTTGGCATCTCTAATCTAAGCAATGTTATTTAATTCATTCATTGAAAATTTAATGAACACTATACTAGTAGCACCTTGTAAATTTATGTGTTAGAATATGGGATATTGTTTTAAGATGTTTAGATTATATATCCTGATAAAATTGTTACGTATATTTTAGAAAGGATAGCAGGCAAAAAGCCTAACATAAAGTTTCTCAAATTTTTATATCCTTTAGGATTATATAATGAACATATTAGAAATGCAGATATCTGAATTTCTAACCTTAGAGTATCAGATGATTGTAACTGTATGATAAAATTTAATAACTTAATGATGTCCATTTATAATCATCATCTACATTAGTTTCTGATACAGAAAGTCTACTGGCAGCAATTTCAGAAGCACTTATCTAAGATAAACATCCATTCTACCTCTTATTATTTATGTTATGTGTGAAAATGGCAATATATCAGAGTTTTAATATGCTTATTTGCCAGGTTAAATGAGATTAAATATGAAATATTTAATATTTGAAGAGCAGTTTTTCTCCTTTATAATAAAATTATGAATATTTGTATTACTGTTTTATTAGTCAGATTAATAGTTGCCTACTGAGAGTCCTGGGATATAATCTGCATTTTCAGTTCTCCTTAGACTATTTGTTCACTATATCATACCATAAAAATATGCCTTCTATGAGATATATTTAAAGTGGCTTTTATCAACTGTTATCTTTAGAACAGTGGATCAAGAATTTAGAATAATATTTCTTACTTATATCTGAGAAAACACTGCAAAAAAAGAAACAATGCCCTGAGTGAGAAATGAGTGACAATGTCTTATACATGGTCATGGAAATAATTCTATAATCAGCAGGGATAGATTCTTTTAAATGTAGAACAACGTGTTACCACTAGAATGTCCTTTGACCCAATCCGGCAGAAATACCTACTTGGACCCAAAGAGGATTGAAATAGTCACCTTTAATGTACTTAATGAAAGGAGCTCTGGGAAACATGTTCGCTTTCCCTTTCCTGCCATCAAAGTAAATTTTTCCAATGTTAAGGGTAAGAAAACAGTAGCTGAACTTTCATATATTCAGGCAAAGGAAAGAGAATCATGGAATCATCAGGAATAATGGGGAGAGAAAAATGATGCCTTAGGGGTCTACCAGAAAGAAAGATAACTAGATTTTATTCAACAAACACTCAAAGACAAAGATTATTTTCATTCAGTACTTCTTATAAAGGTGTATTTTTCTCCTTTAGCTATGTGTAACCTGTGAAAGCAAGGAGTAGAGGCATGAAATGTTTGAAAATTATGAAGACTATACAGATACATGGAAAAAAATAGATATGTTGTGCTCATGTAGAATAAAGTTCATCTTTAGGAAGTATTCTCATCATTTTTCATATTTAAAAAAACCTCAGTTCTATAGTTGAAATAACATTTAACATTTAAATACAAAGAGTTATTAGATCTTTCTTTAGTTTTAATCTATAGTAAATGTTTTATTCCAAGCATCAGAATACTTTCATTTTAGAACAGAGCAAAGGTTTCTATATAAAAAAAGTCATTTTTTTAAAAAGAAAAATAATAATTAAGTATACAATTATTTTATACATACATGACTTGTTTTTCTCTGTTATTTATGCAAATCTGGAATAAAAGGTTAGAAATCGGTATAAAGCCAGATGACCCAGTAAAATAGTTGTGCTATATAATCAGTTTTAATTTTAAACTTTCATAGCAAATCCAAATGAGGCAATCATGTGTTACAATTACCACTGAATTTCATTTCAAGCTATCATTAAAGGTGATAATCCACCATTTAGAGTAGTTGACCCAAAAGTTAGTTTCTAAATTTTTCTAAAATTGATACTTAGAGCATCTCTTCATTCTTACTGCAATTATGATAAAATATTTCTATTTCAAAAGTAGCAAATTGCAGCCCTAAAATGAAGATAATTTCTACTTTTAGATGTGATCATTACCCAAGTTAGTTTCAAGCACTGTGAGTCCAACAATTAAACTTGTCTATGAAGATTTTTTTGTTAAAAATATTGAATACAAAGAAAAAAATAGAAATAAAATTAACTCAGTTCACAGAAGAAGATTAAATTCCAATTAAGTTAAATTTTAGTTTCAGTGAAAATTAATTTTTCCCCTTAGTTTGGCATTTTTAAACATTTTTGGTTATATAGTATTTACTCCATTTTTTTCTAATTAAAAGAACAATTTATGATTAGTATAAAAAAGGGATAAAGTTTCATAAAATATAGAATCTAGAATGCAAATAATACATTACTATTTAGAAATAGGTGTTATTTATATAATTGTGTATTTATTTTCTTGGTGTACATATACTTAATATCAGTAATCTTACGATGTTTATAGTAATTTTATTTAGCATTATAAAATAAATATTAATCGAGTAATTACTTTTTTAAAAACATACCTTTAGGTAGCTACACAATTTTTTGTCAGGTGTATTTGCCCTAATTTAAACATCCAGTGCATCATGCTCACGTATTTTCTTTTGGGGTGGGGAGGGTAGGATGCTTATTAGGCAGGAACACTTGTGAAAAGAAGCGATGCAGGCCCAGTAAACTCTCATGCAGCCTGCAAGGAGCTCTCATTAGAATAGTATTCAATATGGCCAGCCTTTATATCCCTTCCTCACTTAGTCAGTGGATGAAGCCTTTCTTGGATGAAGTGAGACTTCTGAAAAAGCAATTCTTTGCAGTTGATGCCTATGCTGAAAAAACTCACAGTTGGAGGCTATCTGCTAATCTCACTCCCTACTTATGTGTATCGTCTTTCCTTGAGAGGGAATTTTTACATCTACTGTGGAATGCTAGATTTCTTATTTAAACAAAATGTTTTGAAGCTTATGTATCATATAGGTAAACAACACAGATGAAACAACCTGGTAAGGAACAGCTGTAGATCTTTTGTGCGTATTAAGTTAGTACTTATTATTCTGTATTCACTTTAAAACAATATTATTTTGAAATAGTAATTGATTCACAGTAAGATAGAAATAAATACACAGAGAGGCCCTATGTACCCTTTAGCTAGGTTCTCCAAGAGTTAACGTCTTGCATAACTCTAGTAAGATATCAAAAACAGAAAATCGACATGGGTGTAATCCACACAGTTTATGCACATTCCACCAGTTACCTTTACACTCTTCTCGTGTGTGTGTGTGTGTGTATGTATCTACACAATTTTGTCATGTGTAGCTTTGTGTAACCACCACCATAATCGAGGTACTTAACTAAACCATCACTACAAACTTCCTTGGGGTACCCCTTTAATAGTAACATCCACAGTTCCCTAATCCCTAGCCTGTAGAACCCAACAATCTGTTCTCCATTTCTATAACTGTTATTTCATGAATCTTCTACAAATAAAGATGAATGTATCTTTTTGAGGTTGGCCTTTTTTCACTCAGCATTCCTTCTTTGAGATTTCTTCAAGTGGTTGCTTATATTAATATCATCAAAATAATAATTTTTGATAAGTAGTATTTCATGATATAGATGTTTCACAGTTTATTTAGCCATTCATCCATTGAAGGATATTTTGGTAGTTTCTTGATTTTGTGTATGACAAATTGAGTGCCTTGAATATTAGTGTACAAGTGTTTTGGGGAAATAATTTTTCATTTAACTGACATATGTGTAAAAATGCAATTGCTGGGCCATATGGTACGGTGATTATTTTCATGTATCAATTTGGCTAGGTATCATACCCATAATTTAATTAAATACTAATCGAAGTGTTGCTGTGAAGATATATAGATGTTAACATCAACATTCAGTCGATTTTGAGTAATGGAGATTGGCCTCAATTAATGTAGGTTGTCTCTTCAGATCAGTTGAAGGCCTTAAGTCCAAAAACAGGTTTCCCAGAAATAGAGAAATTCTATGTTAAGACTACCACATCAGCTCCTGCCAATATATCCTATTGGTCCCCTTTCTCTAGAGAATCCTGAATAATACATATGGGATGTTTATTTGTAGTTTTAAAAGAACTGCCAGAGTGGCTTAACCATTTTACTTTCCCATAAGCTATATATTAGTGATCTTCACCAACATTATTATCACCATTTTTAATTTACTTTAATTTTAGTCATTCTGATAGGTATACAATGATATCTCATTGCGGTTTAACTTGCATTTCTGTAATAGTGAAAGACACTGAACATGTTTTCATAAGTTTACTTAACAACTGTATATCTTTTTGCTGAAATATATGTGCATGTTTTGTGCCCATCTTCCATTGGATTGCTTTTTAAAATTATTAGAGATTTGAGTTTTTAAATATATTCCAGGTACAAATAATTTGTCAGATATGTGGTTTGCAAATATGATCTTTCAGTCTTTGACTTTTTATCCTCTTAACAGGGTATTTTGTAGATCGAAAGTTTTAAATTTTCATGAAATCTAAATGATCAATTTGTTCTTTTATAAACCATGCTTTGGTGTCAATTCTAAGAGCTCTTGCCTACTCCTAAGTAAAGAAGGTTTTCCTGTACTTTTTCTAGACGTTTTATGTATTTGGGTACTAAGGACTTATTTTGAGTTAACTTTTTAAATAAGATATGAGGTTATGGAAAAGTTTAGTTTTAACTGTTCATGTCCAGTTCACCACCATTTATCAAAAAGGCTATTTTGTTTCCCTTGGATTGCTTTTGGTTGACAACATTTAATTGGGCATGTTTGTGTGTTTCTATTTCTGGGCTGTCTATTCTGTTTCATTGATCTATGTGTCCATCCCTCCAAAAATATCACAGTGTCAGGATTATGGAGCTGTATAGAAAGCCTCAACAGTGGAAGTCTGACTGCTCCCACTTCACACTTCTCTTTCAAAATTGTTATTGCTCTTGATATATATATATATATATATATATATATATATATATATATATATATATATATATATATAATTTTTTTTTTGAGACAGAGTTTTTTGCTCTTGTTGCCCAGGCTGGAGTGCAATGCCACAATCTCAGCTCACCTCAACCTCCACCTCCCAGGTTCAAGCGATTCTCCTGCCTCAGCCTCCCGAGTAGCTGGGATTACAGGCATGCACCACCACGCCCGGCTAATTTTGTATTTTTAGTAGAGACAGGGTTTCTCCATGTTGGTCAGGCTGGTCTCTAACTCCTGACCTCAGGTGATCCACCCTCCTCGGCCTCCCAAAGTGCTGGGATTACAGGTGTGAGCCACCACACCCGGCCTGTTATTGCTCTTGATATAAAGTATTGAATAAGCTTGTCTATGTCTACAAAAATTCTTTCTGATATTTTGATAGGGATTGCATTGAACCCATTGATGATTTCAAATGAATCAATTTCTTTGTTCTGTTGAATCTTCTAGTCAGTGAGCATTGCATTTATCTACATTTATGTAGATCTTCACTAATTTTGTTCATTGCATTTTGTAATTTCATCATACAGATAATGCCCATGTTTAGATTTCTATAAAAGTTTTCCTTGGAGCCATTGTAAATGGTATCACACTTTTTTAAAATTTAGATTTTTTTGTTGTTTATCATATAGGAATGCAACTGATTTTCGTGTGTTTACCTTATATCCTGTGACATTAATAAACTCATATATTTGTACAGTGAATGTTTAAATTCAGTTATTGTATTTAGTTATTTTATTTCCACTTAGTTCTTGTTCATTTCTTTTAAATTGGCAAATAAAAATGTATATATTTATTGGGTACAATATGATGTTTTGATATATGTATACATTGTTACATGATTAAGTCAAATTAAAATATCAATCACCTCATAAACTTATTATTTTTATGCAATAAACTGAAAAAATAATTATTTCACATAACTAATTTTGTACCCTTTTACCACCTCCCCATTATCTGCTCTTCTAGCTTCTGGTGACCACTATTCTACTTTCTACTTCTATGAGTTCTACTTTTATACATTTCATATTCAAGTGACATTATGCAGTATTTGTCTTTCTGTGCCTATCTTATTTAACTCAGCCATTTAGTATTTTTTACAACTATTTATTTGCTTACATTTTCTAATTTCTAAATTTGTTTCAAGAGAATTTATAATTGATCATTGAAGCATTTTAAGGTAGTTGCTTAAAATTCTTGTTAGATAGTTCCAACATCTTATTTATCTTGGTATTGGCATCTGTTGGTTGTCTTCTGTTTTAAATTATGGTTTTCTCAGTTCTTTGTATGAGCAGGTGAACATTCTGGTAATTAAGGTGAGAGACTCTTCACTCTATCTAAATCTTAAATCCAGCTACATTCTTTAACAAGCAATCATCATGTTTAGGTTTAGTTTATAGATTCTGGCCAATCTTTGTGGGTTTTACCCCCAATGACAATTAATTTTTCAGAGCTCTTACAATAATATTCTAGTCCATTTCAATCTTTTGGTGCTGATGGGATTCTTATTAGATCCCTGCTGGTTCCATCTGTGAGGGCAGAAATTGCTTCCCTAGGCTTTTCTGTTGTTAGGTGACCTTCCTGGGGTAGGTGAGACAGAAGCCACTGGGCCTGGGTCTCCTTAAGCCATTGGGTGTAGATTAGAAAGACATGAAGTTTTGCTGTTGCTAAAACTGTGAGTTTAATTTATGGGAACACTGTTTCTTTCCTTACCTCTGATTCTCCTGTCCCTGTTTCTGGCTTTGGACCAGGGGCTAGAATAGCTAGGGGCTTTACTGTTGCTACTGTTCAGGGCTGCTGCTTGGGAATCAGATCACTTGCAAGTGACCCAGCTGTGGAGCAGCAGGCACTGGGACAGTTAGAGCTTTGCTGGTGCCGGTACTTGATACTGCAAGCAGCCAGACCTCTAGGCCAAGTTGCCAAATGGAAGTTGGAATGGCTTGGTTCTTTGCTGCTGCCATTGCAAAGAGATCATACAACCTACCAGGGCACATTTATGGAGCATGAGCTGAAAGGATTAGGGGCTTCTCTGCCACCATTGCTGATGATAAATCAGACCATCCTCTGAGTTTGGGGTGAGAGTTTGGGATTCCCTGCTAGGTCCTTGTTGGGATTCCCTTTTTCCAGGCCTTTGGCCTAGAAAGCAGATAACTCCAAAGATAAGATATATAGACACCGTCACAAACTGTGTGATCTTACAAAGATTGCTGATTTTCACTAAGATTTAGTTTCAGTGTCTACTAAACAGTGAAATAATAGCACCTTCCTTATAAGGCCATTATCAAGATTCAAACCAGCATTACAAGAAATGCCAAAGAGAGTTCTAAATATTGAAACAAAACCTCAAAATACACCAAAGGAGAACCTCTTTAAAGCATAAATTTCACATGGTGTATAAAACAACACAATGGAAAAAAACAAGGTATTCAGGCAAAAACTAGCACAATGAATAGAATAATACCTCACATCTCAACACTAACATTGACTTCAAATGGCCTAAATTCTCACTTAAAAGATACAGAAAGGCAGAATGGATAAGAATTCACCAACCAAGTATCTGCTGTCTTCAAGAGACTCACCTAATACATAAGGACTCACATAAATTCAAGGTGAAGAGGTGGAAAAAGATATTCCATGCAAATAGACACCAAAAGGGAGCCGGAGTAGCTATTCTTACATCAGACAAAACAGACTTTGAAGCAACAACAGTTAAAAAAGACAAAAACCAAGAAGGACATTCTGTAATGAAAAAAGTACTAGTCCAACAGGAAAATATCACAATCCTAAATATATATGCAGCTAACACTGAAACTCCAAAATATATAAAATAACTACAACTAGACCTAAGAAATGAGATAGATGGCAATACAATAATGGTGGAGGATTCAGTACTCTATATTGGAGGATACTCTACTGACAGTACCAGATAGGTCATCAAGACAGAAAGTTAACAAACAATCAACTTAAACTATACCCTACAACAAATGGAATTAACAGATATTTACAGAACATTCTACCCAACAACTGCAGCATATAAATTGTATTCATCAGTATATGGAACATTTTCCAAGAGACACAATATGGTAGGTCACAAAACAAGTGTCAAAAATTTAAGAAAATTAAAATTATAGCAAGTACTCTCTCAGACCACAGTAAAATAAAATTGGAAATCAATTTTCCAAAAGGAACACTCAAAACCATGAAAACAAATGGAAATTAAATAACTTGCTCCTGAATGATCTTTGGGTCAACAATGAAGTCAAGATGGAAATTAAAATATTCTTCAAACTGAATGGTAACAGTGACACAACCTATCAAAACCTCTGGGAGACAGCAAAAGCTGTGCTAAGAAGAAAGTTTATAGCATTAAATGCCTACATCAGAAAGTCTGAAAGAGCACAAACAGACAATCTAAGGTCACACCTCAAGGAGTTAGAGAAACAAGAACAAACCAAACCCAAATAATTAATTATTATTATTTAGTAATTATCATATAATAATATAATATTTTTGTTGTTTTGAGGTTAATACATTTTTCCTACCTGAGTTCTATCAGGATAAAACTTTTTTCCAGTCTAGACAATTACATATATATTTTATGTTTATTCATACCTTGCTTACTTGCTTGTTTTCTTCAATCCAGATCCATAGTGAATTCCTTCTCCAAAATAAGTAATGATGGTGGAAATCAGTTAAGAATCGAGGTCAGCAGAATCGAGGACAACATTTTTCATGTTGTCTCACTGATAAGATTTAAGAGATGAATCATGATAATATCCAAAGATGACTTATTGATTTGCTATTCTAATTAAGTTAGAGCTCTTAAATTTCACTAAAAACTAAACCGAGGCCATATTGAAAGGTTGAACATTTTATGTTCTTTTTGATTACATACGCTATCTTCAAATGTGCATATTACTCTTAATATATTGCTTTTACAGAATAGATACCTGTGTAAATGTCTATAACCATGAATATATATTGTATATTTTCAAATATCAGGTAATTGAGAGACATCAATTACTATGTATGTATGACAGAAACAAATACAACAACCTTCACCTCTCTGTGAGCACATTCAGGCTTTTTAAATGCAGAACTTTAGTCACTATTTTCAGAACTTGTTGTTCTTTGCTATTTTCTTAGATTTAGAGTGGGCCTAAAGCTTTTGCCCCTGTAGCTCTTTGTCAGACTGGTCTATCAGCCGCTGCTCCTTCCCATTTGTCTACAGCTGTGCTTCAGTGCACTTGTAAAACATTTTCTTTCCTTTCCCTGCTTTTGATTCACCTACTTTGGTCTTGGATGAAAAATGAACCTTTTGTGGTCCTGCAGTTATCGCATTTTTTGCTTTCTATAAACTTTCACAGTTTTATTTCTAACATACCTTGTATTGTAAATATTCTTGCATATATCTCATGCATCATAAATTTATTGAGCTTATTTATGGCAGAGACTCATACATATATATTTCTCTTTCCCCAGGAGACTGACCACAGAGAATATTTAACTTGGTATTTAGCACATACACCAATAAAGTTCAATAACCATTTGTCAGTTAAGAGATAGTCTATTTCTTCATTCTCATTGACTTTCAAATGGATCTGTACCGATACGACGAAGAAATCTAGTACAGGGCCAGAGACAAAGACTGGAAAATCTATAGACATACTCATAATTTTAGTGGGAAAAGTGGATTCCATAGCCAGAAATCACATGAAAGGTTCTAATTTGAAGAGTGGCTATTGACAAAGATGAGTAGTTGATCATCATATTTACAGATTAAAGGACCCAATAAATAACAAAGGTTACAGAAACAAGCATTGAAAATTTAAAATAAATGTCTTAAATATCACAAATAATGAGTCAAGAATATAAAACAAGGTGAAAAGGAGCTTAATGAACAGATTAGTGGACTGACAGAAATTGGGAGTTATAAAAAAGACAAACTAGGGAGTAATATGGCCAAATAGAAGCCCCGAGTGATGGTCACCCCTGCAGGACCACCAAACTGAGCAAATCCATGCAAAAAAAGCACCTTCATCAGAATAAAAAATCAAGTAATTGATTATAGTACCTGGTTTTAACATAATATAAAGGAAAGAGACACTGAAGAGGGTAGGAAAGAAAGTCTTGAACCACTTATGCCACCCCTGGCCCATCCCTGCCAGCAACAGTCACATGGCATGGAGAGAGAATCTGGGACTTTGCATTGGAACCCAATGCCGCCCTATCACAGAGGAAAGCAACAGAGAGTAGAACTCAGCCAGCACCCAAGGAGGGAGCATTTAGACAAGCCCTAGCAAGAGGCTAATCATCCATCCCAACAGTTAGAACCTGAATTCCAGCAAGCCCCTTTACCACGAGCTAAAGTGTTTTGGAGTGCTAAATAAGATTGAAAGGCACTCTCAACCACAAGGATAGCAGTTTCTGGGCAAGTCCTGGTGCTGTGCTGGGCTAAAAACACCTCACCAAATGAACTAAATAAGTCACCAAAAACCAATTCTGAAGATACAGTGATATGTGACATTTCAGACAGAGAATTCAAAATAGATGTTTGAGGAAGCTCAACAAAATACAAGATAACACAGAAAAGAAATTCAGAATTCTATTGGATAAATTTAACAAAAATCATTCAAATAAATAAAATCAAACAGAAATTATAGAGCTAAAAATGTAATTGACATACTGAAGAATGCATTAGAGTCTCTTAGAAATGATTAAGCAGAAGAAAAAAATAGTGAGCTTGAGAGAAGTTTGTTTGAACGTACACAGTCAAAGGAGACTAAAGAAGAAAAGACTGAAAAAGAATGAAACACACCTACATGATCCAGAAAATAGGCTTAAAAGGGCAAGCATAAGAGTTATTGGTCTTTAAGAGGAGGTAAAGAGAGAGAGAGAGAGATCTGGGTAGAAAGTTTATTCAAATGGATAATCATGGAGAACTTCCCCAACCGAGGGAAACATATCAATATTTGAGTACAACAAGGTTATAGAATAACAAGTAGATTAAACCAAATAAGACTACCTCAAAACTTTAATAATCAAATGCCCAAAGTCCAAAGATAAAGAAAGGATCCTACAACCAGCAAGAGAAAAGAAACAAATAACGTACAAGAGAGCTCCAGTACATCTGACAGCAGACTTTTCAGTGGAAACCTTAAAGGCTAGAAGAGAGTGGTATGACATATTTAAAAATCTGATGGAAAAAAAAATAAAACTCTTATCCTAGAATAGTATATCCAGTGAAAATAGCCTTCAAACGTGAAGGAGAAATAAAGACTTTCCCAAGCAAGCAAAAACTAAGGGATTTCATCAACACTAGAACTGTCCTACAAGAAATACTAAACAAAACACTTCAGTTTGAATAAAAAAGGACATTAATGAGCAGACACACAAAATTAGAAAGCAGCAAATTAAAACATACTACCAAATTACCTTCACTAAAAGGAATACAGGAAGAAAGGAAAGAAAGAAGAAAAGACCACAAAGCAACTAGAAAACAAATAACAAAATGGCAGGAACAAGTCCTACTTGTCAATAATAACATTGAAAGTAAATGGACTAGATTTTCAGTCAAAAGACATAGAATGGCTTAATGGATTAAAGAAAAAAAATAATAAAAACAAGACCCATTGGCCTGTTGCCTACAAGAAACACACTTCACCTATAAAGATACACATAGACTGAAATTAAAGGGATGGAAAAAGATATTCCATGAGAATGAAAGTGGAAAAAGAGCAGGAGTAATTATCATTATATCAGACAAAATAGATTTCAAGACAAAAACTAAAAGAAGAGACAAAGAGGTCACTATATAATGATAAAGGGGTCAATTAAGGAAGAGGCCGTAACAATTTCAAATATATATGTACCCAACACTGGAGCACCCAGATATACAAGCAAATATTATTACAGCTAAAGAGAGAGATGTGTCCCAATAAAATAATAGCTGAAGGCTTCAATATCCCACTTTCAGCCTTTGACAGATCTTCCAGACAGAAACTCAACAAGAAACATTGTACTTAATCGGCACTACAGACCAAATGGATCTAATAGATCCTTACAGAACATTTCATCCAATGGCTGCAGAACACACATTATTTTCCTTAACACAAGGATCATTTGTGAGGATATACATTATGTTAGGACACAAAACACATGGGAAAAAAGTAAAAAAGTTGAAAGAATATCAAATATCTTCTCTCATTACAATGGAATAAAACTAGAAATCAATAACAAGAGAAATTTTAAAATATTTGGAAATTAAACAATTTAAAATATATGGAAATTAAACAATATACTCCTGAATATACAGTGGGTCAACAAAGAAATTAAGAAGGAAATTTTTTAAAATTCATGAAACAAATGAAAATGGAAACACAACATTTCAAAACATATGGTATATAGCAATAGAGGAAAGATTATATCAATAAGTGTCTATATCAAAAAGATAGAAAAACTTCAAGAAAACAATCTAACAATATATCTTAAAGAACTAGAAAATCAAGAACAAACCAAATCCAAAGTTAGTAGAATAAATGAAATAATAAAGATCAGAATATAAATAAATGAAAAGTAAACAAAAAAAGAAAAATGAAACAAAAAATAGATTTTCTGAAAAATAAACATGTGAGAAAACTTTAGCCTGGCTAAAGAAAAAAAGAGAAAAGATTCACATAAATAAAACCAGAGATGAAAAAGTAAACATTGCAATAGATACCACAGAAATTTAATGTATCATTAATAGCTCCTAAGAGCAAATATATGCCAATAAATTGAAAAAAAGAAGAAATGGATAAATTTCTAGACACATACAACCTAACAATATTGAACTGTGAAGAAATATAAAATCTGGCCGGGCGCGGTGGCTCACGCCTGTAATCCCAGCACTTTGGGAGGCCAAGGCGGGCGGATCACGAGGTCAGGAGATCGAGACCATCCTGGCTAACACGGTGAAACCCCGTCTCTAATAAAAATACAAAAAATTAGCCAGGCGTGGTGGCGGGCGCCTGTAGTCCCAGCTACTCGGGAGGCTGAGGCAGGAGAATGGCGTGAACCCGGGAGGCGGAGCTTGCAGTGAGCCGAGATGGTGCCACTGCACTCCAGCCTGGGCAGCAGAACGAGACTCCGTCTCAAGAAAAAAAAAAAAAAAAAAAAAAAAGAAATATAAAATCTGAGGAGATTAATAACAAGAAATGAGATCAAATCTATAATAAAAAGTCTCTCAGTTAAAAAACAAACAAACAAACAAACAAAAAACAGGTTCCAATGCCTTCATTGCTGACTTTCCCAAACATTTAAAGAAGAACTAACATCGATCTTACTCAAACTATTCTGAAAAATGGAGAAGAGGAAATGCTTTCAAACTCATTCTACAAGGCAGTATTACCCTTATATTAAGACAGACAAAGACACATCAAGTCAATATTTCTGATGAATATTGATGCAAAAATCCTCAACAAAATACAGGCAAATCAAATTCAACAACATATTAAAAAGTTCATTCATCATGAACAAGAGGGATTTATCTCAGAAATGCAGATATTTTATCATTGATGTAATACATCATATCATTAAAATGAAGAACAAAACCATATCATTTTAATTGATGCTGGAAAAGTATTTGATAAAATTAAGCATCATTTTATGATAAAAAGAAAACCTTCAAAATATTCAGTATGGAAAAAATATACCTCAACACAATAAGAGTCATATACAGCAGACCCACAGCAAGTATCATACTGAATGGGAAATAATTAAAAGCCTTTCATCTATATTCTGGAATGTGACAAGGATGTCCACTTTCTACCCTGTTATTCAACATAGTTCTAGAGATCCTAGCTAGAGCTATCAGACAAGAAAAAGAAATAGAGGGCATCCAAATTGGAAAGAAATAAGTCAAATTATCCTTGTTTACAGATAATATAATCTTATATTTGGAAAAACCTAAAAACTTCACCAAAAAAACTGTTAGAATTGATGAACAAATTAAGTGAGTTACAGGATACAAAACAAACATAGAAAAATAAGTAGTATTTCTATTTACCAACACTGAACAATCTATAAAAGAAGCCAAGAAAGTAATCCAATTGACAAAAGTTACAAATAAAATACCTAGAAATAAACTTAACCAAAGAAGGTGAAGATTTCTACAATAAAAACTGTAAAACATTGATGCAAAAAATTGAAGAAGACACCAAAAAAAGGAAAGATTTTCCATATTCATGGATTGGAAGAATCAATATTGTTAAAATGTCCATACCACCCAAAGCAATATACAGATGCAATGCAATCCCTTTTAAAATACCAATGACATTCTTCACAGAAATAGAAAAAGTAATCCTCAATTGCATATGGAACCACAAAAGACACAGAATAGACTAAGCTATCCAGAGCAATTAGAACAAAACAGAAGGAATCTTGTTGCCTTATTTTAAATTATACTATGGAGCTATGGTAATCAAAACAGCATTATACTGGCATAAAAACAGACACATAGACCAACGGAACAGAATAGAGAACCCAGAAATAAATTCATACATCTACACTCAATTAATTTTTGATAAAGGTGTCAACAACATACTTTCTAGAAAGGACAATCTTTTCAATAAATGGTGGTGAGAAACTTGATATCCGTTTGCAGAAGAATGAATCTAGACCCCTATCTCTTGTCATATAAAAAATCAAATCAAACTAGATTAAAGTCTTAAATATAATACTTCAATCTATGAAACTATTAAAAGCAAACATTTGGAAAACTCTTAAGGACATTGAACTGGGCAAAGGTTTGCTGAGTAATATACCACCAGCACAGACAATCAAAGCAAAAATGGACAAATGGGATTATATCAAGTTAAAAGCCTCTGCAAAACAAAGGAAACAATCAACAAAGTGAAGAGACAACCCACAGAATGGAAGAAAACATTTGACAGCTATGCATCTGACAAAGGATTAATGACCAGAACATATAAGAAACTCAACTCAATAGAAAAAATGATCTATTAATCTGAATTTAAAATGGGAAAAAAATCTCAATAGGCATTTTTAAAATTAAGTCATACAAGAGGCAAATAGGTATATGAAAAGATTGTTCAAAGTCATTGATTATCACAGAAAGTCAAATTAAAACTGCAATGAGATATGATCTTTCTCCAGGTAAAATGGCTTTTATCCAAAAGTAATAACAAATGCTGGTAAGGATGTGAAGAAAAGGGAAACTTTGTACACTGTTCAGGGGAATGTACATTAGTACAATCACTATGGAGAACATCTTGGAGGTTTCTCGAACAGTTAAAAATAGTTAAAAATAAGATCCAGCAATCCCGCTGCTAGGTATATACCCAAAAGAAAGAAAATCAGGTTAGTGAAGAGACGTTTGTACTCCCATGTTTATTTCAGCATTAACAGTAGCCAAGATTTGAAAGCAGCCAAAGTGTCCATCAAAAGATGAATGGATAAAGAAAATATGGTACATATATAAAATGGAGTACTATTAAGCTATTAAAAGAATGAGATTCTGTCAGTTGCAACAACATGGATGAAACTGGAGATCATCATTTTAAGTGAAATAAGCAAAGCACAGAAAGATAAATTCTGCATGTTCTCATTTGTGGTAGCCAAAAAATTAAAACAAAAATTGATCTCATGGAGACAGAATGCAAAATGACGGTTACCACAGGCTGTGAAGCGTAGTGGCCAGGGGGGAGGCAGGAGATAAAGTGGGGATGGTTAATGCATACAAAAATGTAGTTACATAGAATGAATAAGATACAGTATTTGATAGCACAACAGGGTGACTACAGTCAACAATAATTTATTGTACATTTTAAAATAACTAAAAGAGTATCATTGGATTGTTTGTAATACAAAGAAAAGATAAATACTTGAGGTGATGGATACTTCATTTACCCTGATGTGGTTATTATGCATTGTATGCCTGTATCAAAATATCTCATGTACCCCATAAATACATACACCTACTATGTACCCAGCAAAATTAAAAAAAAAGAACAACTAGAATCTTTGTTGTTTACTTCTTTTAATTCTCAAACTTTTAGATTTTTATTTTTAAAGTTGGAAGCATTTTATTTCATGACACTTTTAGGTCAAAAGATTGATGTTCGTAATTGATATCTACAGAACATATTTAAAAAAAAAACAGAAAAGTGCCTTTATCATACAGACAAAGAAGCAGAAGAAAAAACTTTACATTAAATTAGGTAAAATTGAAATTACATAAAGGCAACATATAACATTTAAAAATCAACCATGACTTTGGAAAAATAGATTTTTTATTATAAATAAATTATAAATATTATCAGACTATAAACAGAATATCTACAAATAATAAGAAAGATAAGATTCTAAATTTGGGCAAAAATTTTGATCTGGCAAATGTCAATATCAGAAATTTAAATGATCAGTAAGCCAAGAAAATGTAAAGAAAATGAAATTCATTATTTTGAATTGCCTAGGTTAAAAAATCCCAAATTATGTTTTCAAGGTTGTAAACAAATTTTATTTGACAACGACTATCTGTCATCAAATACATGTTGGGAGGATCCCAAAACTCCAATTTAGAAAACCTTGACCTAAAGTAATCTATTATGTATATAACATTAAACAAGAATGAATGATTCTTTGATCATTTGTATAATTTAGAAAATAATTTTAAATATTAAAAAACTATTGGAAACATGATGTATTATTTTAAGTTAATAACATTGACTTTATTTTCTCCTACTAAATGTACTACTTCCTTTTTTAGCTCCCCTGCAATCTATCTCTTATTTTTTCTTCAAACACAAACTTCTCCAAAGAATTGTCTGTATTTGCACTTTCTGTCCCCTTCTTACCACTCGCTACTCAGGTTTTCTCTCTATATTGAAAAAATCCCTATTGCTACAGTAAGGACAATCCTCATTTTTTAGCATTAACTGTTAGTGGCATTTGATTCTCCACATCATTGTCTTTTCAAAATGTTCCTTTTTCTTGGATTCCATGATATCACACTTCAAAAATGCCACTAAAATAATATTCGTCCCGGTTTTGTGATAATCTTCCTAAAAACCTCATTCTCAGCTTTTTCTATGTGATCTACTTCATTCTCATAACTTAAATAATATCATTTTTGCTCTTAATAATAAAACTTTAACTTCTAGCTTCATAATCTCATCATAGAGCTTCTAAAAAATCTATAAAATAAATATGTACTGATTTGTTTTGACACATTGTGCTTGACATCACATTTATTTCTCAGTTAAGTTTCAAACAACTTTTTGAAGTAATTCTCATTATTTCATTATTTCATTATTTATTTATTTATTTATTTTTGTATAAAAGTGCTACAAGGCGGCTACAGCTAGAACCTGACTAGGTTCTTTGGCCTGGAGACTCTGGTGTTGGTCTTTACAATACAGGCAGTTAATTCCTGACAGGGAGACTTAGTGAATATGGTCTCCTTCCGTGGGTTGGATAGTGAGATAACTCTAGGTCTTCGAGATGTCATCAAAGGTGGCCTTGATGGAGTTGTCCATGGTGACCAGTGCAGCTCCTGGCCAAGATGTAGCAGTCAACCATAGAGATTATCAGCAGCAGCTTCTGGGTATAGGCCTTAGATGATACTAATTCCCCCAGAGGCAAGGATGGGGTCCACCAGAGAAGCAGAATAGCAGCTGGTCACCTAGCAAGGAGGTGGAGGTGGGGAGTGGGCTTGCTGTTCTTGTTCTCCCAGTAATAACCTTGTCACAAGGGGATAATGGAGACCCTAGGCAGGATAATGGCTTTATGGAGAGGGGTGGTACCTCCATGGATCACTGAACACAAAGGTCAATGTGGCCATTATAGTCTCCAATGGCAACAAATGCTTTGAACCTGGTCTACTGGCCAATGAGGATCTACTTTTGCAGGACATAATCTTTAAAACCTCATCCTTAACGGATGCCACCGGAAAAGAGTCAATGACCTCAGACTTCTTGATGAGCAGAGAGAAGAGATAGATAACCTCCAAAGACTTGCTCTTCATGTCCTTGACCAGGCAGCCCACGATGGTGACCAGGAGCCACTCTTTGTTCTTGGCATTGCCTCTACCCGGGCTAGACCACCACCATGATCCTAGCCCCAGAGTCCAGTCAAAGCCTCAGTGAAAGCCGGCCCAGTCTCTCATTCTAAGGCCCCTGCCAGCATGGTTTATTATTTGATGTTTTCTCAAAAAGGATGTTTCAGTATTTGTTATTATTATTATTATTATTATTATTATTATAATACTTTAAGTTTTAGGGTACATGTGCACAATGTGCAGGTTTGTTACATATGTATACATGTGCCATGTTGGTGTGCTGCACCCATTAACTCGTCATTTAGCATTAGGTATATCTCCTAATGCTATCCCTCCCTGCCCACCACCCCCCCCCACAACAGTCCCCAGAGTGTGATGTTCCCCTTCCTGTGTCCATGTGTTCTCATTGTTCAATTCCCACCTATGAGTGAGAACATGTGGTGTTTGGGTTTTGTCCTTGCTATAGTTTGCTGAGAATGATGGTTTCCAGTTTCATCCATGTCCCTACAAAGGACATGAACACTTACTTCATTTTTTATGGCTGCATAGTATTCCATGGTGTATATGTGCCACATTTTCTTAATCCAGTCTATCATTGTTGGACATTTGGGTTGGTTCCAAGTCAAGATGGATTAAAGACTTACATGTTAGACCTAAAACCATAAAAACCCTAGAAGAAAACCTAGGCAATCATTCAGGACATAGGCATGGGCAAGGACTTCATGTCTAAAACACCAAAAGCAATGGCAACAAAAGCCAAAATTGACAAATGGGATCTAATTAAACTAAAGAGCTTCTGCACAGCAAAAGAAACTACCATCAGAGTGAACAGGCAACCTACAAAATGGGAGAAAATTTTTGCAACCTACTCATCTGACAAAGGGCTAATATCCAGAATCTACAATGAACTCAAACAAATTTACAAGAAAAAAACAAACAACCCCATCAAAACGTGGGTGAAGGATATGAACAGGCACTTCTCAAAAGAAGACATTTATGCAGCCGAAAAACACATGAAAAATGCTCATCATCACTGGCCATCAGAGAAATGCAAATCAAAAACACAATGAGATACCATCTCACACCAGTTTGAATGGCGATCATTAAAAAGTATTTGTTTTTAAAAGGAGAAAGCAGCAGTACAGGAAAATTATGGAAATTAACTCAGAAAGCAGCTAGAAAAGAGCTGAACTCTGACAGGAAGTCTGAGTCCAAAGCCTTGTTCATTAACTCATCTCCTAGATTTCATTAAAATGTATACATACTGCTTACTTCAACATGCATGACTCATGATTCTGCACTCAAAAGTAAAAGATCCACATGTATACTATCTTCTGCTCCTCTTCAAACTTTAAAACTTTTTTCCAAGTTTTAAAGTTATAATTTTTTTTTGTCTGGTAAATGGCATCATAATCTACCCAAAAGCCCAAAGCCTCAAACCTGGGAATGTATTAGACTCTCTTTCTCTCTCAGTTCCTTTACAGTAACTTATCAAATCTTTTTAACCTAACAATCTATAAGTCTCTCAAATCTGAGCCCTTTTCACATTTTATCCTATGTCAGAAAAATATCACTTTTTAAAATTTCTGCATGAGCTTCCCAAATTTTCTACCTCGCTCTATTTTATTCTCCAACCCAATCTTATCATACATATATCAACAATAACAGCCAGAGTGCTAACTTTAAATTTTAAATTGGAATGCATATTTCCATACCTAAAATAATTCCATGATGCTCTCTTACCTTTAGGATAAAATCCAAAATTGAACATAGAAATTCCAAAGCTTTTCTCTGCCTGCTTCTTTAGTTTCACTCTTAGCACCAATCCTCTTGCCTTCAGAGTTGTTATTGTGATTCATCTTGCCAGCGTGAGATCCTTGTTTTTGTCTCTGGTTTTGCATGTTCTTCTCCCTCTAGAAACCATCTTGCTTCCTTCTTTCCTCTGCTAATTTCTACTTTGCATTCAGATTTTAGTGTATCCTTCATTTGTGGAATTACATGAAATCCCACAGCTATCTGTTTCTAAAATATTTGATTCTCTAACACCATGTCTGCTTTACTCAGAGTTGGAGCCCCAATGCCTGACATGGTGTGTGTGAAATAGTAAACAACGCTTACATGATAAGTGAATGTCTATATTGTTTATACATTTTCTTTTCTCTTTATTTGGTTTTCTTGATATTTTCAAGCTTAGTGTAATAAGGGCATTTGTATACTGGACTTTTGGATCCTAAGCCAAAAAGCAACATCTTCATCTTTCAGTGCCCTGATTTTTTTCTCTTGGAAACTAAGATCATGATAGTTAAATTATCCTTGTAGAAAGGTGCAATTTTAGCCAGCCCTAGCTCCTAACATTTACTCTTTTCAGTTAAACATTTTGGAGTGGAATCAGGAGGTGTTTGCTTTGTAATAAAATGTGTAAAATTCACTAACCCAAAGTCCAACTGCATTTTATTAATATAGAAAATCAAGTTGAATATTAAGAGTCTGAATATGTTTTTGCCTCTTGAAATTCTTTTGAATTATCACTTAGAATATCAATTAACAAATGATAAGTTATGCAACCTCTTGAAATGCTAGCAAATAAATATTAGAATATGCTGAAAAGAGATTATTATCATTATTTTTTCTCTTACCAAATACAGTGATGTGATTAACCAAAACTGAAGTGTAAGAGCATACAATTAGGTCATGGTGAGGCATTTTTAGTCTTTGACTTTCGTATTGTTTTATATTATTGATGCCAACTGAAAAGGTGTTAGGTACATGTACTTTTAATGGTTACAGAATTATCCAAATCAACAGTTACTACTCCATATATATGACAATAAGACAAATATATAACATTAGTAAATGTGTAAAAATACAAAATATCGATTTCAGAAGTTTTCTTACTCTGAAATACTAATGGAATTTTAAAATGAAATAAAGAATATATACTTTCTCCCTTAAAGGCTATTTCTTTTAATATCATAACATTGTAGTTACGCAATATAAATAAACAAAGATTATACTAATCAAAACACAGTTTATTTTTCACCAAAAGAACATAAAAATATTCTCAACTACTTCTTTGGCTTTGGGTAAAGACACATATTTCCAGAGCTAATAAATCTGACAGCTTCACGAAGATAACACCACTCACTGTTTAAGACAAGTATTCAAAATGTTTTTAAAACATGGCACTATATGTGGTAACCAATAACTAAAAGTAACTTAAAGAAAGAAAGATAAATCTAATATTTCTTTGTTAGTAGTGCAAGTATTCTGAATTGCTGTGTTCAGGCAAATATTTTCACAGTCTTTCCTGCTTTACTATTATATTTTAATCCTACTTTTTAATCTTATATCAAATTACATGATGCTTTGCAACATGTATCTTTACTGTCTTTTTACTGCTTTATAAATAATTGATATTTAGGAAATGATTACTTAAATTAATGAACACATTATTGTTCTTCATGACCTGTGACAAATGTATATTTGTATATACTCCCTTAGAAATTTGGAAGTTTATATTTATAGTTGAGAAAGCAGACTAATAGGCTATATTCTAATTAAGACTGTTCTTATTTTCAGAAATCTATTATTTAATGAATATACCAGCATATATAGACTTCTGTGGAATTGAAAGCAGATGATTATTTTTTAATGGAAATTGTTTCCAGATGAATTTCACAGCAAAACAAACTTGACTCCATAGGAGGATATATTAACTCTGTGCATGATAGAATACATTCTGCCAGTGCTATTCTCAGTATAGGTATGTGTTAGTCAGCTTGGGCTTCCATAATAAAATTTTTAAAAATGATGAAATGGTTTAAAAAAATAATTTATTGTCTCAAAATTTTAGCAGCTAGATATCTGAGACAAAGGAGCCAATAAATTGAGTCTCTGTGAGGGTTGTCTCCTTGGCCTATAGATGGTCTCCTTCTCACTGTGTCCTCAGATGGACGCTTCTTTGTAAATATGTGGACAGATAGAGATCTCTGGTGTCTCTTCTTATTATTGGGATAACAGTCCTATTAGATTAAGGCCCCACCCTTGTAATTTTATTTAATCTTTATAACTTCTGTATAGATCCTATCTCTGAATACAATCACACTGAGAGATAGAGCTTCAAGATATGAATTTTAAGGGAACGTAATTTATTCCATAACAAGGTACTCGATTGACGCAGATCCAAAGGATATTTCTCAGCTATTCAGGCCTGAAGAGAATTTTAAAACCTTGCTTTAAAAGTTTTCAATGAGCAGTTTTTAAAAAGTAAGAGGAGAAGAGAAAATATTGATATATATAGTGCTGAAATTTAGTATTTAAATCCAATAATATAAATAAACATATGCATTTAGATCTCATTATATATTAAAATAATTTGTAGTTATTTATTTAAATAAAGGCTCAATTCTTCCCAACTTTTTCTAATACATCTTGAGAATCACTTTTTCTCACCATAATCACTAGGGAAACACCAGGAAAGATTAATCTTCAGCTTTAGTAGATATTAGTTTAGAATATTATCCATCTAAGTGATAACTTTATTGATATATTCCACTAAAATTTTTGCAGTTCATGTGCAAAGTTGAAATCTTCTTCACTTTGTCCCCAGCATATAAGTCTACTCATGGATCTTCTAAAGAAATCATTTCTGAGTTAACATAGGGAATTACAATGTGAACAGAATATAATTTTATTTAGTTTCTTGACACTATTGTTATATTTAAATATATGTAATTAATTAATGTCAAAGCCTAAACCTCAAAAGACACTAACTTATTGTTTATTAAAATGCTAATAAATTATTTTAAATTAAATATCTAATCCCAAATAAATTGAATTTCATAAGAAACAGAATCTGATCTAATGATTACAAACTGTCTTTGTTGATGCACAGACTGGCACTGAAAAATACCCTTACTTTTTAAAGTTGAACACATTACTTAATTGGTCATTTTTTCCATCTTTAAATTGTGTGCAATAATATTCATGCTATACGTCTGTTATGAGGACACACTGAATAACGAATGAATTCTGTCTTTCATAGTACAGAACAAGGTTGCAGTTGCAAATTACATTCTGGTAGACATTGTTTAGTTTATTTCTTTATTTTAGAGATTACATTCTATTAATAAAAGTGCTAATCATTTTCATTAAAATATAGTTGTTCAAAATGTACACAATTGATAATCTAATATATAACTGGCATTTACAATGTAGACTACTCACTCATATTCTGGACAGTAGAACATGAATATTTCAATAATCTTCAGAGGCCAAGGGAAATTTTTAAGAAAAGAAAGAACTAAGATAGGAGCGGAATGTCAAATAATTAAGGCTTTGAAAGAATAATAAATGGCAAGAAAGGGACAATGAAGAACACATAACCAAACAGGAAGCATGTTTTTATTGCTCTGGTTTATTTGGAATAATCATCATTGGAAATATTCTGTGGAAGCTTGGCTATAAATAACTTTAGAAAGTGAATAAATTTCTAGATTATTGGCCTCTGCATATTCCCTTTCCTGATCAATATCTACTGAGAGCTGATCTGTGGTCTAGGCAATAAGCAAAACTGCTTATCCTTTCACACCTGATTTCATTTTCATTTGAACATAGGCATACCCCAATACTGAGTCTTACCATGGAATATTCCTCTAGGGTACAAAACTTCGGAAACAACGCAATCTTTAATCAGCAGAATGAGTAAATGAACAAAGCATGGCACAGCTATTCAATGAAATGCTACTCTTTGATATAAAAAGGAGCAAACTGTTGATATATGTGGCATGTATAAATGTCAATATAATTATGAGAATAAAATATGCGAAACACAAAAGAGTGAATACTGTATGATTACATATTTATGAAATTTGGGGAGATGCAAACTAACCTATAGCAATAAAAAGATTGCCTAAGGCCAAGGTGAGATTGACTACAAAGGAGCATAAGGAAACTACAGGGGTGACACAAATGTTCTGTATTGTTTTAGTGACTTCAGAGGTCTATGTTATCTACTAAAACTCACTAAATAGTACCTTTTAATGTTTATTAGATACAAAATAAATCTCATTAAATAACATATTAGAAGAAGCATGCATTTTTAAAAATTGTTTTGAATTTATATGAGCTTAGCTGTCAATTACTATGTTAAACTATTACCACTTGATGGCAGGAACCATGTTGTACTTGTGAGAAACTTAATTCCTCTGATTTCAGAGATCAAATTTACAGCTATAACATTTGTGGTCACCAAATTAAAAGAATATTGCCTGACTGCTTAATTATTCCTATCCCCTGCATTGTGATAATATATTGTTTTTCTATTTTCAGTCCATTATCTTAACCTTACATTTCTGAAGGCCTTTTCATTGTTAGAATGTTTTAAAACTGTTTATAATATCTTGGGAATTTGTATGTGTGACTGTATTAATCAGTCTGAATTTGCTTTCAGAATCTTAATGTTCACTATAATACATATGAGTGCACTTTCATTATTTTCTTGGTTACTCTAAGTACTAAATACGATATGAATAAAAATTGTAGAAATATATCTGTACTGACAAACACAAACCAAGACAAATGTACACATACACACACACACACACACACACACACACATGCCTGTGCATATATATTTCTAATCATGTTCTTAGAGGATATTTTATTTCCTCATTGTTATTCTATCAAAGCTAATTGCATTTCTTTCTAAAAAATAGGGACTGAAATTATGACTCTGAGTTGAAATGTATTAATTTAGTCTAAGTTGAAATACAATAAATGATTTATTTTGAAGTATATGTGGTAAAACTGGAGAAACAATACAGTGTAAGACAGTTAATATGGAAATCTTATCCCAAGGCCTTACAATTTTAAACATTCACAATACATAAACAAAGCGGTATGTTGAAAACAATTATGAATGTAATTGTGACTATCGAAAAGTTCTCAATTATCCTTCACAAATTATAAAACCATAATGTTCTGGAAGTATCATTGCCTCCTAGGATATATTCTTCTAAGGTATATGACATGTTACTTTGAAAAGAATAAATTAGCATATAGCTCCATACAGTTTAAATGAATTTATAAAATTGGTTGTATAAATATTTATTTGAGTCAAAAACGTGCAGTGATAAGATTTTGTACAGAGCCCTAAGAAGATAGATACTGGGTAATTACTATTTATAAGATAACCAGCTTGATCAAAAAAGTAACCAGCCCCTTCTAAGACAAATATAATAGCAATTCTCATAAGCCCTTTAAAATGATCTGCTAGAGGACAAACAACAAAGAGCTAATGGGAATTTATGGATTACAAATGACACAGTTTACATACACAAAAATAGCATCAATGTCAAGGAATCAAAAAGAGCTGAATTACTGGAATAAGAATCACAGGAGATAAAATGATGTAATTGATTCAATTTAAACATTACAAAGATGGCAACACATTTCTCCTATACTGCAATCTACATGAGAAAATTGGAGATTCAAAAGCATTTTTTGGAGTTCACTGAATTGCTTATATAGTTCATGAATAACACGAGATTTGAACAATAACAATATGTGGAAAATTACAATATGTGGAACAAAGCTTAAAAGTTTGACTTCATCTACCCTAATATCTTGAGTTAGAGAAGGGAGCTGTTATCAACAGTTTGGACCCCTGATCGTAAATAGTATACCTAGACATTTGTAAGAAATCATGCACATATAATATTCATTTTTAAAGAATTTTTAAAAATATAAATAAAAAATTAATGAAATAAAAATAGAATTGTGGAAAATCTCTCAAAAATTATCAGATGTGATAAGATTGCTGATTATATCAGTGATTACATGTAATTGATATTTAATGACATTACTAAACATGTAAGATGTCTGGATGTATTGGCTTATAGATATATTTGGTTGGTTGGTGCAAAGGTAATTGCGGCTTTTGTCATTACTTTTAATGACAAAAAAACGCAGTTAGTCTTGTACCAACCTAATAAAACCATAACCATTAGAATGCACTGAAGTCTTGATATAAGTCTGGCTAAGATAAAAGTGAATAATACTAAGATCATATAAAAAACCTGCAGAAGACACTAACCTATGAGGAGTACTATTTATGTCAAAATAACAGACATTCAGCAGTAACTTGATAATTTCAAAGTCAAAGGCATATTTATAAATTTAAAAATTTGCATACTCTCTCTAAAATTAAGGGAAAGTTTTATTATTTAAGAAAGATTATTTTATAAAGTGATTTCTTTGGACTATGCCTGTACATTAATAATATTCAGCTTTGTGAAGTACTGTACATATCAACTACTTGGATGTCACCATTTTGAATGCAAGTACGCCTGAATAAGGGCAGGTATGGACAGGGGTTCTTATATTAAATTCCCTGGGTTATAGTTATGTTGTACTTTTCACTATGTCATTTGGAATTTATCGTCTCTCTGTAATTTTCAGTTTTTTATTCTCTGAGTTATCTCACCGTCTTATGTTATTTCAATATCACCTCTTCAGTATTTTGTTTTTTTCTCCTTTGTAAAATGCTGGGAGAGAGCTTATTGTGACAAATAAACGTAAAGGTTTACTTTCAAATTGGGGAGGATTAATTTTTGATAGATTCAAAGCATTGTAACTCAACATTAAATCATTCTTTAAATGTGTATGCTACTTTAATTACACATACAAGAATACTAAATTTGTTCTTTTTCTCAAAAATATTTAGCACAATACACTGCTTTATCACATGTGTGAGCAGAGAGACAAAAATACTGAGTAGGTCTTTTAATATAGCTCTTCCTAATAATAGAAAGAGAGATATTAATACAGATATACATATTTTGAAAAAAGTTCAAATTTAGAGTCTGTCAATTGGTGGAAGAGATAATAATCATGAGTTTTGAAACACAGCACATTTATTATAAAAGTTTCTAAATTTAGATTGTCTATTTTTTGAGAAATAAAAATATTATTGAGATGTTAAATATTCACCATATGAACTTAAAAAATCCAGAAATTTATTAAAAGCATGTTAGTGTGATTTAATTTTAGAATACATAGATGTTACCTACTGGTTGGTTTTGGAAAGAATATAATATCAAGCTTTACAGACTCTGTTTCCTGGGCTTTTTTCTTACTGAATTTGAAAATAAAATTCCTTTTAGCTAAAGATCTTTGATCTGTCTAACCCAGTTTTTATTTTTTTTCTCTTAATTGCAAAACTAGAAAAAAACAAACCAATTTCTTTGTTCCAAGCACTGTGTGATTATCTTTCTCCAGCATATGCACAGACAGAACTAGGGTATACAAAGGCTGATAAATGAGCTATTCATGTGATATGGTAATAATCAGATTTATCAGAGGTCACCTATTGACTGCTCTATAGATGTATTAATCACTAAGATTTTGCTGAACCTCCACAGGTGACAAATAGCTGAGACTTTTCTAAAAATTTCTATTTTCTGCATTACTTAAAACAAATGAAACATTGATGAATTTTGAATATTGAGGACCAAATATAGGCCTCCCTGCAAATAACAGCACATTACTTTGTACTGATATACAGATATAATATTCATTTTAATTTAATATTAGACCATTTGGAATAGTTGTTACATTTTAAGCAATTGCATTTCTATATGAAAACTTCATATAATAAAGAGTGGAAAACTTTATTCAGTTTTATTTTTACTTCTATATGTACAACCATATCGCTAAATAATTTCTCAACACACATTATATTCATGGCTAATAATTGCACAAATATATATATTAAATAAATCAATTTCAAGGTAGCTTTAACTTTTAAAAATTGGGTAGTGAGTTATTTAAATAAAGTAAGTTAATGATGGCTAAATAGGTCCTTTAAAAAAATGCAAATCCAAATGAACCCAAAAATGATGCTTCAATAGTTCTAGTTAGCATGTAATATGTTGTAGCATATTTTACTGAAAGTTTTGGGAATTTAAAGGGGGTTGACATTTCAGGATAAAAATAAATCAAAAATTGAATATTAGAGATAACTTTTATTAAATGTCCCTAGGCATCTTATAAAATAGTTAAGATTCATCTCCCTAGACTCTACCATTTCATATTTCAAATACTACAGCAACTCATTCTTCCTGCAGGAATTCAATAATATCCAATCTACTCTATAAAGTGATTTAGCTCTAATGCTTCCCCTTTTGCTCCAGGCCTACATTTACATGTGCATTGATTCATTAATGCAGTAGAGTGGAAAATAGACCATGCTCTCTAGGTTCTACATATGGAGGTTTAAAGAATAATAGTTATTAATATCATATTAATTATTTGTCTTCTACCCCTTCCAGACTTTATGACATAAATAAAACAAAATATAGATAATTTAATAAAACCTAAATTATTCTACCACTACTACCCCCCTAAAACACACATCTACAATGAAATAGTTTATGAATATTTTCTTTATATTAAATAAAATAAATATAATAAATCATAATGTGTTATCAGATACCAGAGACCCCATGACAGAAAAAGATGACAGAATTTTTTAAGTGACATTCAAATTTTTATATGCAAGGTGAATATTTTGAAGTTTGACTTTATAGATGTCAGTCCCAACAGCCACATATATGTATAAATAGCCACATGTTCTTTGACAATCTTCCTATTAAAAGATGGGATCCATATCGTGTCCCCACCTCAAATGAGGGCTGGCCCATGATTACTTTGAAAAATAGAAAATAGTTTGAATGATACTAAGCTAGATTAATATCTAGCATTTACGAAGACTATTACTTCTGCCTCCATCACTTGGATCTCCAAGATTTGAGTAGGAAGTCTGAATTCTCTGCCAAGAGGCCATGTAAAAACTCTCTGGGACTAAGTGGAGAAAGAAAGTGGTTTAGCTAAGTCCGTCCTTTCAAGTGCCCTGCAAAGTTGCCAGGCATATAAGAAAAATCATTTTATATTACCCAGAGCAATCTAGTTCACAGCTGAATAATATTTAATGACAACACTTGACACTGAACAGAACTGAAAAATCACTCCACAGAGCCCCGTCCCCATTTTTGACTACCAAAAATCATGGGCTGTATTAAAATGCTTGATGGTTTTGAGGTCCCAGATTTTAGGATAGTTGGTTATTTAGTAATATCTAACAGAGAATCTGCTAACAAAAGTGGTGTGTTGTCATAACCAAAAGCTAACTACTTTGACACTAGTGTTGGACTAGACAGCAGGAAAAATATGGGAGATTCTCAAGGAGACTTGGTAAATGCTAGAAAAAGCTTCAGTAGCGTGTTAGGAAAAATGGAAGTGCTTGGAAGAGATTGCTGTTTAAGGCTTAATTTACAATGAGAAAAATGTTAGTAGGAGTTGTAGTAAAGGGGAACCTACATGTACAGTAGTGCAGTTTAACACCACTGTCACCTGCAGTAATGTGGGACATAGAAAGGGTACTCTTAACAGACTCATGGCTGGCTGGGAGGATTCCCAAGTAAAATGCATACTGTGCCAATTGGCATCTTATAGCTGCCCATAATAAAATATGAGGAGAAAGAAATCAACTAATAAAAAATAACTCATGTTTAAAAAAAATAGAAAATATAAATGAACCAGGACTTACTAGACTTAAAAATAAAACTAGGCCGGGTGCGGTGGCTCACGCCTGTAATCTCAGCACTTTGGGAGGCCAAGGAGGGAGAATCACGCGGTCAGGCAATCGAGACCATCCTGGCTAACACGGTGAAACCCCGTCTCTACCAAAAATATAAAAATTCAGCCTGACGTGGTGGTGGGCGCCTGTAGTCCCAGCTACTCGGGAGGCTGAGGCAGGAGAATGGCACGAACCCAGGAGGCGGAGCTTGCAGTGAGCCGAGATCGTGCCACTGCACTTCAGCCTGGGCGACAGAGTGAGACTCCGTCTCTAAATAAATAAATAAATAAAATAAAACTGACAAATTCTAGCCTTGCCCAGCAAGTTGTCTCTTGGACAAACATCCTTTGTAGGGCATCAAAAAGATGATAGAACCTATGGTTGTAGCACAAGTTGGAAAACAACAGTTCATGGGTGGCCATGTGTTTTTCTGAATAATTTTAACAGGACATATCCGTGTCCATTTGTTTACATATTATCTATGGCTGCTGTTGTTCTACAACAGTAGAGTGGAATAGTTGTTTCAGAGACCATGTAGTCTACAAGCTTAAAATGTTTACTATTTGTCCCTTTAAGAAAAAGTTTGCCTGCTTTTGAGCTAGAAAATAAACTTTATGAATTTTATAAGTGTGTCTCAAGTCCTCCCTGTTAAGCAATAGAGTTTTTAAGAAGCTTAGGATGTAGTTGAATAAGAGTCTCACTATGACTCCATATAGAGAAGGATGGTTTCAAAAAGATTCATAGATGTGACTTTTTTTCCCAAGTAGTAAACCCCAATATAATTCACAAGAAACTAAAAGCATTTTAAAAATAATTATACTGATACAAGCACTACAAGTTTAAACTCAAAAAGGACAACACAAAATGAAAAGAAAGTTTTTATGAACAGGGGGAAGGCCAAGAAATTAAAGAAAATATAAATAAGTAAAGATTAGGTCCAATAACAAATAGCAAGTTGGCTAGGTCCAATAACAAAACCCTTTTGCATTCCCAGTTTCTTCCAGAAAAATAAATTATGAAATAAACTTATTTTTAAGATGTCAAAACAATGAGAAACATCTTAGTTGCAAACTTAAGCCATTAACTATGGAAAAGACAAAACCAAGGAGAAATCAAGAACCCACTGGAAGAGTCAAGAGTCATAGAGAAGCACTTCCAGAAAGTCAAACAGTATTCTGATAAATTAACTGATGACATATATTGAACCAGGTTGCAGAATTGTTATCTGACATTTTTTCCACCAAGAGCATGGCTCTTCTAAAATTGTGAGGTGTTTTTCAATGCACAACCCTGTTGGCAAAGCATAAACTACAGCCCATCTCATCTTGCATGACACAGCTGTTGAAATATCTGCTAAGAATATAACTTTCCTCTTTCTTACTGCTGCTGAGCTTCTAGCTGACTTCCTCTAGGCTGTGAGCTTAGAAGCTGATCAATAAATTTGAGCAGAATCTGTGTCAAAAGTTTTGGGCTCCTTGTAGGAAATCCATTCTCTTTGGAATATTTCGTTTTATATCCAAGCCACGTTAGCAGCCCCAACTCTGATCTCTGCATGCTGAGCCCAGTGTGACCACTGCTTCCTGCATTCACTTTACCCCTAGGTGAATATGGAAAGTTCACTTGGAGAAAAAAAAAGAAAAACATTTGAAAAATTTCTTCAAAGAAAATGCACCTCTGTGCTTTTCTTCTTGTAAGAACTGGAGTCCCTCAAAGCTCACTGATTTATCTCTAGTGTCTTCCAGCTTTTACAATTGTTCTCTATAGGATGGTTAGTAAAATACAAAGTATTCTGTTATGGCCAAGAACATCAAATTTTATTTATATTACAAACAATCAAACCAAGCACACAAAAATGACAGCAACAAAGTTGCTTTGCGGATTCAAAGTGAAAGAAATAAGTTTTCGTTATAGAATACCCAGGACAACTCTAGGTATAAAGCCATTAATTTATTATGATGCATACCTGTAAATTAATATTTCAAGAAAATTTAAATATTGGTGTTGCATCAACTGAATAGCATTTAAAAATTATTCACAGCATACAACAACATGTGTTCTAATGGTATCAAATGTTAATATATAAAGGATGAAATATACAGTACTGGAACAATATATCAGTGAAAGATGAACATTCATAGATTTGTTTACAAATGTATCTAAAATATTTACTATATAATAAGCAGATTGTACTTCATAAATCTAGAAAAAACAGTTAAACACACCAAGAAATAAATAGTTCAAATAATACACTTAAAATATAAACAACTGTTTCAAGTCTTTAAAAGAAAAAAATTCTGAGCGCCAAATACTAAAATGAATATACTAATAGATCATACTTAATGAACTCAAGTATTGAAACAAATAATTTCATGCTGTTTTGAAGATTATGATTTAGATTTATCTTTATAATTAGTAATTTGATAACAAAATGTTGTAAGTCTGATGATATACTTTATATTTAAAGGCAAATATTAACAGTATGTAATAACATCTGTATCTAGTCCAAGAGATAATTCATATCAGTTATCTTAGCTTACATATTCAAAATATTTAAAATAAATAGGACAGGCATATTAACATAATTATGGGAGAAAAAGGTTAACAATAAATACTTATATTATTTTGCTTATTGTTTTTAACATAATTATAAAATATTATCTAATATAAATTCTCTATATGCTGGTTAATGGAAGAATAAATTTTAATGATCTTTGTTTAGAAACAGATGACCCATTACATTTTCCTAGGATTTGTTTTATCATTCATAAGTGGTCTTTTGTATACAATATTAAAAAGTAAATTAGCAGGGAGGCACAGTATCTTAAAAGCCTGTGATACGGCATTTCAGCTCACCAGGTAGGTTGCTATTGTAATCTAGCTATTTATTGTGAGAATCACAAAGAAAGAACACACACAAAAAAAATCCTTTAGAGAAGAAAACCAGAATGTTATTTTCTATTGTGATAACTCCAGTTAGTTCTTCAGAGAGAAATTTCATTTTATACAAATAAAATTGATAAATAGTAGCATTTAACTGAAAGGTAAAGTTTTGATTAATTGCATGTTGCTTCAATAAGATGATACAAAAATTAGTTAAATAGACTTATTTTAAGATAATATATTTCAAATTGAAAAATTTCTATAACTTTAAAATAAATCTTGAATTAATACATTTTATTCACATTCTTCTTTTTTTTTGTTAGTACAGAGAATAGAAAGACTATTAATAGGTCACCATTACAGCACAGAAGCCGAAAGAGAGGGCAAAAATACACTACTGATACTGAAAATTACAACGTCATGTCTGGTGACTGAATAGAAGAGATAATATAACAGTAGAATGTGTGAATATATGAGGCTTGTTCTTTTATGAAGAAAGAAATATGATTCCTATTCCCCAAAACAGGAAGTTGGGACAACTATCTTTCTTGAATCAATGTATTTTATAATAGGAACTGATAGATTATAACAGGAAGAGGCTTTAAAATTTCAGGTATTTATATGACGGAATCTCTTATTGAAGAGAAATTATCAAATTCTCATTTATTTTTGTCTCATCTTTTATTCTTACCAATAAGATCTTTCTTTTTTCTTCTGTTGTTTTGATTTTTCAGCAATCTCAAAGCCCTGACATATAGCTAAAGACTCAAGGATAGAACTAAGTGTTTAGACTTTTTGGTCTTTTAGGATTTTACAGCAACTCTCTTTGGTCATTCCCTGGGAATATTCCTTTAGAATGGGCAGTGGCCTAGGGCTCCTGAGAGTAAATCCATAATCATCCATTTATGAAGAAAACTAAAGTGACAATATTATCATCAAAACCTCTTTTATTAAAATAATTTAATAATAGTTTGCCTCTCTATTGTTCCTCCAAACATCTTATTCTAATAGATATAAATTATATTACAAAACATAAGCTTTTATTAAATAATTTATGTAATTCATATTTGGATATATTTGATAATGTTAATAAATTGTGTGATTTATAGGAAAAGTGTTAATCCATATAAAATACTAAATGTATCTGATTTATAAAAGGAAAACAATCTCCCAATCTCTCCACTGATTTGAATATCTTATTTGAGTATCTATGTTACAAGCTGTTTTTGTAAATGGCAATGCAAAGATCAAGAAAAGCCAATGGAATCTTGAAGACGAATAAAAAGCTAGTAGACTTGTAATATTATGATATTATAAAACTATAATCACTAGGGTAGCTATGCCATTAGTGCAAAGATAAACAAAAAGAATAGAAGTAGCTTAATGCAACCATCAATCTAGGCAGTGCTGAAGTGCTATACCATCTCAACAGTCTGTATCATTACATAAGCTGACCTCTGTCCCTGACCATTCCTGAAGAACAGCTATTGGGCCCCAAACCATGATTCTTAGGTCACAGATGATACCAAAGGATTGCCATGCTACCCATCTGTAGCATGGATTGGATACAGTCCCTCAAAATATTTCAGGATATGAGCTGGTGATTCCAAGTCCTATGTACTTAACTGGAAGAATCCAAATTTTTGTCATTATAGTTCTGCCTCTGATGTTGCCAGGTAGAAAGGCAATGCATCTTTAAGTACACACCTTAAAAGATCCAGTTTGACAAATTTTTTGGCTCTTCTCCAGAAAGGGATGAACAATACAATAAATTCTCTAAATGCTCTTGTTGCCCTCTTCAAGCTTCAGGAGGTCTAGTCTATATTTTTTCAGGCCATTTGCCTATGGTTTGTCATATTTTGCTTTTAATTTTCAATCTCTTGTGAGTATCTAAAACACAACAAAAGTGAATTATCAGGAAAATGAAATTAAAGGTGTACAACATATAGACTTATTTTTATTATTAGATTGAACAGACTTATCATTGTTCTGTCAAATTGCCATAACATTTTATAAAAGCTTACTGTCCATTTCTATACTATTTTTATGTAGCACTGGGTTAGATAAGTGTGGAAGGATTTGTAGGCAGATTACACGTTACCATTCTGCTTATGGTTGTGAATTTTAAATCTAAGTGTTGATTTTTTTTATATTGAATACTCTTAACATAATCTTTAGTAATCAATACTGTATTGTGTACCATAAAAAATTTTCACTCTGTCTGATCCTGCAATTCTATTTTTAATTCTTATTCTAATTTCATAATTGAAATTAGCATAAATGTATGCAGATTTTTGCTCATTACAGTGTGAATCTTAAATATAAAATATTTTATATTAGAATTTTAGAAAATGCATCAATTATATAATATTTGGTATCACTGTATCATTTAAAAATATGGAAGAACTTAGAGAAAAGTTTCACAGTGTTAAAAAAGCAATTGAGAAAAAATGAAGCATATTTAGTGTAATCTTTTGTAAAAATAATTTGTAATATATGTTCAAAAATTAAAAACGAACAAAAGCATACATTGGGACAATAGAACTAACCTTAGTAATTTGAGATTTTAGATCAATTAATTTTCTTCACTGTTGAAAATTACATCTAATATTAAACAATTTGTTTTAACATTGCTTCAACAATAAAGATTGTTGTATTTATTGATTTCAACAATGAATACATATTGTAGCAAAATTCTTATTTTTTTCATAAAACTACATTTTCTAAATTACATTTCAGTATAAAAAGAAATGTTTTGCTGGGGCAGAGCAAGATGGTGGATTTAGAAGCCTACACATTCCTATCCCCCTACAAAAACAAAATTTTAACAAGTATGTGCGCACAGAAAAGCACTGCCAAAAGGACCAAAAATCAGGTGAGTAATCACAGTACCTGGTTTAACTTCACATCATTGAAAAGGCATTTAGGAGGGCTAGAGAGACAGTCTTCAAATGCTGACTCCACCTCTTTCCCATCTGCTGCTAGCAGCCTTGAAGCTGCAGCATGGTGAGTGTGCACCTGGGGGACGAAAAGTGCACTAACTAGAGGACATTACATTGAACTCACTATCACCCTGTCACAGCAAAGAGCAAAGCTGTGCTGGGATACAGCTTCGTGCTTGGAACACAGAGGGAGCATTTGGACCATACCTAGCAAGAGAGGAATTGCTCAGCCCATTGGTTGAAACTTGAGTTTCTTGGCAAGCCTTGCCACCATGGGCCAAAGTGCTCTGGGGTTCTAGGTAAATTCGAAAGGCAGTTTAGGGCACAAAAATTGCAATTCCTAGACAACTCCTATTGCTGGATTGGGCTCAGAGCCAGAGGACTAGGGTGGTACATGCTCTAGGGAGATGATAGCCAGGGAGGCTAAAGAATGCATGTGCCACTCCTCTCCTAACCCCAGGTACTGCAGCTCACAGCAACAAGAGTGTCTCCTTCCTTCTGCTTCAAGGAAGGAGAGCAAAGAGTAAAGAGTACTTTGTCTTGTATCTTGGATACAAGCTCAGCCAGAGTAGAATAAGGCCACAGGCAGATTCACGAGTCCCGCATTCCAGGCCCTAGCTCCTAGATGACATTTCTAGATACACACAGGGACAAAATGGAACCAGCTGTCTTGAAGAAAAGGACTCAGTCCTGACAGGATTCATCACTTACTGCCTAAAAGCCCTGGGCCCCTGAATAACCACCAGTGATATCCAGTGGGTATGCTGTGGGCCTTAGGCTCTGAGACTTGCTGACTACATGTGTGGCCCAGCACATTCCCAGTTGTGGTGGCTGTGGTGAAAGACTCCTTATATTTGAGAAAAGCATAGTGAACAGTAAAGGGGTTTTTGTTCTGTACCTTAGGTATCAGCTTGGTCTCAGTGAAGTAGAGCAACAAGAAGGTTCTTGGAGTCCCCAAGTCCAGATCTAGGATCTTAGACAGCATTTCTGAAACTGCTCCAGGCTAGAGGGGAGCCCACCACCCTGAAGTGTGAGTCAAGACCTAGAAACTTTCACCACAGCTGACTGAAGTGCTCAAAACAGCTATTTGGAATTCGCTGTCTGAATGGTAACATGTCTCTGTTTCTTCAGTATTGGTCCCTGGTGCCTTATTTAGTTTGTTTGGTGAGGTTACATTTTCCTGGATGATCTTGATTTGTAGATGCTTGCCAGTGTCTGTGTATTGATGAATTAGGTATTTATTATAGTCTTTGCAGTCTGGGCTGGTTTGTGCCTGTTATTCTTGAGAAGGTTTTTCATGTATTTGGAAGTAATTGGGCCCCAAGCCCAATATCACTATGATTTTTTGCATTCTCATGTCGTGGGAACCACCACCACTGGCCTACAAGGGGGTGGCTGCCAGGCTACCACTGATGTTCACTTAAAGACACTACAAGACATACAAGAAATATAAAAAATAAAAATAAATAAGCAAGTAATTAAATTGCACCACCAGAAAAAATCAGCTCACTAAAAGGAAGACAGGAAGAAAGGAAAAAAAGTAGAGAAGAACACAAAACAACCAAAGAACAAATAACAAAATGGCAGGAATAAATTTCCACTCATTGATAATATAAAATTGAATGTAAATGAACTAAATTCTCCAATCAAAAACAGAAAGGCTGAACGGATTAAAAAACAAGACCCAATGATCAATTGCCTATAAGAAACACCCTTTACCTGTAAAGATACACATAGACTGAAAATAAAGGGATGGAAAAAGATATTCCATGCAAATGGAAATGAAAAAGAGGAGTAGCAGTTACACTGATGTCAGACAAAATCGATTTCAATACAAAAAGTATATTGAAAGAAGGTCATTGTATAATGATAAAGGGGTCAATCCAGCAACAGTATATAAAGATTGTAAATATATATGCACCCAACACTGGAGCACCCATATATATATAAAGCAAGTATTGTTAGAGTTGAAGAGAGAGAGAGACCTCAATACAATAAAATCTGGAGACTTCAACAGCTCACTTTCATCATTAGACGGATCTCTCAGACAGAAACTCAGCAATGAAATATCAAACGTAATCTGCACTATTGAACAAATAGACCTAACAGATAGTTACAGAACTTTTTATCCAAAGGCTGCAGAAAACATTCTTCTCTTCAGTGCCTGGATTATTCTCAAGGATAGATTATATGTTAGGCCAAAAAACAAGTCTAAAACATTAAAAAAAGAGAAATAATATCCAGCATCTTCTGCAACCACAATGGAATAAAACTAGAAATCAGCAACAAGAGGAGTTTTGGCAACATATGGATATTAGACAATATGCTCCTGAATGACCACTGGGTGGATGAAGAAATCAAGAAGGAAATTGAAAAATGTCTTGAATCAAATGACAATGGAAACAAACCATACCTAATTCTATGGGATACAGTGAAAGCAGTACTAGAAGGTGAATTTACAGCGTTAGGTGTCTACATCAAAAAGAAGAAAAACTTCACATGAATAATCTAATGATGCATCTTAAAGAACTAGAAAAGAGCAAACCAAACCCCAAATTAGTAGAAGAAATAATAGAGATTGAAGCAGAAATAAATAGATTTGAAATGAAGAATACAATATAAAAATCAGTGATAAGAAATGTTGGTTTTACAAAAAGGTAAGCAAAATTGATAAATCTTTAGCAGATAAAATGAAGAAAAAAGAGGAAAAATGCAAATAAATAAAATCAGAGATGAAAATGGAGTGATTCTAATGGATACTGATGAAATTAAAATGATTATTAGTGGCTACTATGAGCATCTACATGTCAATTGGAAAATTTAAAGGAAATAGATAAATTTCTAAACACATATAATTCACCAAAATTGAACAATAAAGAAATCTAAAACCTGAACAACCAATAAAAAGTAATGAGAACAAAGACATAATAAAAAGTCTCCCCATTAATAAATAAATAAATAAATAAATAAATAAATAAATAAATACCCTGGGACCTGATGGCTTCACTGCTGAATTCCAGCAAATATTTAAAGAAGAACTAATATAAATTCTACTCAAGCTATTTTGAAAAAAAATAGAGGAGAGACTACTTCCAAACTCATTCTACAAGGTCAGTATTACACTCACACCAAAACCAGACAAACAGAAATTTAAAAAAGGAAACTACAGGCCAATACCTCTGATGAAGATTATTGGTGTAAAATCCTCAACAAAATATTAGCAAATCAAATTCAGCAATACATTGAAAAGATCATTTATTATGACCAAGTGGGATTTATCCCAGGGATGCAAGGATGGTTGAATATAAGCAAATCAGTCAATGGGATACATCATATTAACAGAATAAAGGACAAAATCAATACAATCATTTCAATTGATACTGAAAAAGTATTTGATGAAATTCAACATCCCTTTATGATAAAACCCTACAAAATAGGGAGTGAAAGAACATGCCTTAATATAATTGAAGCAGTACACAACAGTCCCACAGCTAGAATCATGCTGAAAGTCTTTCCAACAAAAACTGAAAGCCTTTTCTCTAAGAAGTAGAACATGACAAGGATGCCCACTGTCATCACTTTTATTCAACATAGTACTGGAAGTCCTAGCTAGAGCAATCAGACAAGAGAAAGAAATAAAGAACGTCCAAATAAGAAAGGAAAAAGTCAAATTATCCCTGTTTACATATTGATATGGTTTGGCTCTGTCCCCACCCAAATCTCATCATGAATTGTTATTTCCAATGTTAGGAAAGGGACCTGGTGGGAGGTAATTGGATCGTGGAGGTGGTTCCCTTATGCTGTTCTCATGATAGTGAGCAAGTTCTCAAGAGAGCTGATAGTCTTAAAGTGTGATACTTACTTGTGCCATCTCTCTTGCTCTCTCCTATCATCATGTAAGACATGCCTTGCTTCCCCTTTTGCCTTCTGCCATAATTGGAGGTTTTCTAAGGCCTCCCTAGCCATGTAAAATTTGAGCCAATTAAACTTCTTTTCTTTATAAGTTATCCAGTCTCAGGAAGTATTTTTAATAGCAGTGTGAAAATGGAGCAATACAGAAAATTAGTGCCGAGAGTGCAGCACTACTATAAAGATAACTGAAAATATAAAAGTGACTTTGGAACTAGGTAACAAGCAGACATTGGTACAGTTTGGGGGGCTCAGAAGAAGAGAGGAGGATTGGGGAAAGTTTGGAACTTCCTAGAAACTTGTTGAATGGCTTTGACCAAAATGCAGATAGTGCAGGTTGTGGATAGTCCAGGCTGTGGAGATCTCAGATGGAGATGAGGAACCTAATGGGAACTGAAGTAAAAGTCGCTCATGCTATGCTTTAGCAAAGAGACTGGCAGTATTTTTGCTCTGTTCTAGAGTTCTGTGGAATTTTGAACTTGAGAGAGATGACTTAGGGTATCTGGTGGAAGAAATTTCTAAGCAGCAAAGCATTCAAGAAGTGACCTGGCTTATTCTGAAATAATTCAGTTATATGCATTCACAAAGAGATGGTTTGGAATTGGAACTTATGTTTAAAAGGGAAGCCGAACATTAAGATTTGGAAAATTTGCTGCTTGACAATGTGGTAGATAAGAAAACCCCATTTTGAGGGAAGAATTCAAGCTGGCTGCAGAAATTTGCATAAGTATTGAGGAGCTGAATGTTAATCACCAAGACAATAAGGAAAATGTCTCTAGGACATGTCCTTTTTTCGGCATCCCCTCCCATCAGAGATCTGGAGGCCTAGGAGTGAAAAATGGTTTTATGGGCCAGGCCCAGGGCCCCAGTGCTCTGTGCAGCCTCAGGACTTGGTGCCCTGCATCCCAGCCACTCCATCTCCAGCTGTGGCTAAAAGGGGCCAAGGTACAGCTTGGGCTATTGCTTCAGAGGAAGCAAGCCCCAAGCATTGGCAGCTTCCATGTGGTGTTGAACCTACAGGTGTGCAGAAGACAAGAATTGAGGTTTGGGAATCTCTGCCTAGATATCAGAGGATGTATGGAAATGCCCAGGTGTCCAGGCAGAAGTCAGCTACAGGGACGGAGTCCTCATGGAGAACCTCTGCTAGGGCAGTGCAAAGGTAAAATGTGGGGTTGGAGCCTCCACACAAAGTCCCCACTGGGGCACTGTCTAGTGGAGCTGTCAGAAGAGGGCCACCATCCTCCAGAACCCAGAATAATAGATCCACTTACAGCTTGTACCGTGTGCCTGGAAAAGCCACAGACACTCAACACCAGCCTCTGAATGCAGCTGCAGTGGTTGAAAACTGCAGATTCACAGAGGCAGAACTGCCCAAGATTGTGGGAGTGCACCCCTTGCATCAGCATGTCCTGGATGTAAGACATGGAATCAAAGTTGATTTTGGAGCTTTAATATTTAATAATTGACTGGTTGAATTTTGAAATTGCATGAGGCCTGTGGCCCCTTTGTTTTGGATAATTTCTCCCATTTGAAATGGGAACATTTACCCAATGCCTGTACTCTTATTGTATCTTGGCACTAATTAACTTGCTTTTGATTTCACAGGCTCACAGGCAGAAGAGACTTGCCTTGTCTCAGATGAGACTTTAGACTAAGACTTTTGAGTTAATGGTGGAATAAATTAAGACTTAAGGGGACTCTTGGGAAGTCATGATTGGTTTTGAAATGTAAAAAGGACATGATATTTGGGAGGGGCCAGAGGTGGAATGATATGACTTGGCTCTGGGTCCCCACCAAAACCTCATCTCAAATTGTAATTCCCAATGTTGGGAGAGGGACCTGGTGGGAAGTGATTGGATCACCGTGGTAGTTTTCTCTATGCTGTTCTCAGGATTGTGAGTAAGTTCTCACAAGAGCAGATGGCTTTAAAATGTGGCACTTCCTTGCATGCTCTCTTCTGTTGCCATGTAAAACATGCCTTATTTCTCCTTCACCTTCTGTCATGATTTTAAGCTTCCCAAGGCTTCCCCAGGCCTGTGGAACTGTAAGTCAATTAAACCTTTTTTTTTTTTAAATAAACTACCCAAACTCAGGTAGTATCTTTATAGCATTGTGGAAATGGACTAACACACAGGTGATATAATTTTATATTTGAAAAAACTTAAAGACTCCACCAAGAAACTATTAGAACTGATGAACATTTAGCAAAGTTGTGGGATACAAGGTTAAAATAAAAAATCAATAGCATTTCTATATGCCAACAGCAAACAGTCTGAAAAAGAGATAAAAAAGTAACTCCATTTACCATAGCCACAAATAAAATTAAATACCTAAGAATTAACCAAAGAAGTGAAAGACCTCTATAATTAAAAAAAAATAAAAAACACTGGTGAAAGAAATTGGTAGAGTAACAAAAAAAAGAAAAAGAAAAATAGTCCATATTCATGGATTGGAAGAATCTATATTGTTAAAATGTTCAAACTATCCAAGCAACCTACAGATTCAATGCAATCTGTATCAAAATACAAATGACATTATTCACAGAAATATAAATAACAATACTAACATTTACATGGAACCACAAAAGACCCAGAACAGACAAAGCCATTATGAACAAAAATAACAAAACTGAAGAAATTACATTACCTGACTTAAAATTATACTACAGATCGATAGTAATCAAAACAGTGCAGTACTGGCATAAAAACAGACACATACACAAATGGAACATAGTAGGGAACCCAGAAGCATATTCATAAACCTACAGTGAACTCATTTTCAACAAAAGTTCCATGAACATATGTTGGAGAAAGGACAGTCTCTCAATAAGAGGTGTTAGGAAAACTGGATATCCTTATGCAGAAGAATGAAACTTGACCCCTCTCTCTCACTATTTGCAAAAATCAAATTAAAATGGAATAAAGACTTACAGTTGAGAACTCAAACTATGAAGCTCCTGTAAGAAAACATTGGAGAAACCTTCCAAGACATTGGTATGGGCAAAAGTGTCTTGAGTAATACCCCACAAGCACAGTCAACTAAAGCAAAAATTGACAAATAGGATAACGTTACATTAAAAAGCTTCTGCACAGCAAAGTTGTCATCCACAAAGTGGAAAACAAACCTCACAGAATGGGAGAAAAATATTTGCAAACTATTGATTTGACAAAGGGTGAATAACAAGAATACATAATGAGCCCCAACTACTCTATAGGAAAAAAAATAATTATCCAATTCAAAAATGACTAAAAATTTAAATAGGCACTTCTTTAAAGAAGACACACAAATGGCCAACTGGCATATAAAATAGTGCTCAACATCATTGTTCATAAGAGACAAACAAATCAAAACTATAAGATATCATATCACCCCAGGTAAAATGACTCTTATCCGAAAGACAGGCAATAACCTGCTAGAGAGGATATGGAGAAAAGGAAACCCTCACACATTGTTGGTGAGAATGTAAATTAGTATGACCCCTATGGAGAACAGAACAGAAGTTCCTCAAAAAATTAAAAATAGAGCTATCGTATGATCCAGCAATCTCACTGCTGGCTATATATTCCAAAGATGGGAAATATTGAGTGATATCTGCACTCCCATGTTTTTTGCTGCAGTGTTTTCCATAGCCAAGATCTGGAAGCAACCTAAGTGTCTAACAACAGATGAATGGATAAAGAAAATGTGGTATATATACACAATGAAGTACTGTTCAGCCATAAAAGAGAATAACATCCTTTCATTTGCAACAATACGGATAGAACTGGAGGTCATTATGTTAAGTGAAATAAGCCAGGCACGGTAAGACAACTTACTGTAGAATGTAAAATATTATTTGTGGGATGCAAAAATCTAAACAATTGAACACATGGAGATGTAGAGTAGAAGGATGGTTACAAGAGGCTGGGATTGGTAAGGGTATTGGTGGGGGGAGGTGGGGATGGTTAATAGACACAAAGAAAATAGAAAGAATGAATAAGTTAGTATTTGATAGCAGAACAGGTGACTGTAGTAAAATAATTTAGTTGTACATTTTAAAATAACTAAAAGAGTATAATTCAATTGTTTCTAACACAAAGGGTAAATGCCTGAGAGGGTGGATACTGCCAATTTTCATGATGTGATTGCTACTTATTGCATTCCTGTATCAAAATATTTTGTGTACTCTATTGATATGGTTTGGTTCTGTGTCCCCACCCAAATCTCATCTCGAATTGTAATCCCCAAGTGTTGAGGGAAGGAAGTGATTGAATCATGGGGACAGTGTTCCCCATGCTGTTCTCATGATAGTGAGTGAGTTCTCATGAGATCTTATAGGCAGCTCTTATGTACACACAAATAGTAAAAATTAAAAATAAAAGAATTTTTTCTGTTAGAAGACACAGAAAGTGCAAGAATAATTATCTGAAAAAAAAACAGTTATCTATTTGCTCATGGATTAAAACCTTTTCATAGGAAAAAAATTAGATTCATTTAGTGAGAAAGTTTATCTTTCAGAGTAACATGGGTTCTGATCTATATAGCAATCCTTTTATTTAAAGGCAGTAGAATTTACCTGAAAAAAAGCAAATTCATAAAATAAAATAATCAATTTTCTTCAATATTAATTTGTTTATATGTAGCAAGATTTTCCCCTTTTTTTAGCTTTTGAGAATTTTACAATAGCATATTAGGATAGAGAAGAAATGAGAATTCATACACAATAAAGTTTGAAGAATATCTGAAAATAAAAGGCATTAACATGGAGCAATATAAAATATGGCTTACATAATTAATAATTAAGGAAAAAATTAAGACCAAGACCAATCTCAGAAACCAACATTTGTGCTTACTATTAGTTGAAAGGCGTTTTTTGCACTACATTATTTAACCCTTCTGTAATATTTATCTTAAAGGTAATAACATCAAGATTCACAGTTGTTGGATAAATTTCCAAGTCAAATAGTTGTCAAGAAGTAAGCTGGACATCAAACCCAGTTTTATATTAATTCATTGCTAGACTTTTTTATCACTATGAGATATATGAAAAATCAAATGGTAGATTTAAACACACCTAATGGTAATGTCTTTTTTTTTTAACATAAATAAGAACAACAATAACAACAACAATTACTTGCTTTTATTGAGCACTTAAAATTACAAAGCACATTCTAAATGTGGTGCATATTTTAAGTAAATTACTTGTCAGAAATATTTCACAAGTTATTTGGTGTTATTATTGCCATTTGTCAGATATTAAACTGAAACACTGAGAAGTTATCCAAACCCAAATTGGCCTAAATTTAAATAGAATTAATACAGATAAATCAAAACTAAAAATGAGTTGGTTTTGCTCAAGAATCAACACTTTTCTTTATTGTTTTATGTTGGTTTTGCAAGTATAGATGCTTAATTTCACATCTAAAAATGACTTAGATAATACACATTGAAAATTTATATATATGCTTACAAAGTTAATGAACTGATTATTCTTTATTACTACATTATATAATTTCTATTATATTTGCATGTAAAAATAATTGCTATTGGTTTACCTTTAAAATGATGTTGGTTTAAGAAACAGCCTTATAAATAATTTTTTTCAATAAATGATGTATTATTAATAATTGTAATTATATATAATATATTTTATATATACTAATTGCAATATAAGTTCCAATTTGTCCACATATCATTAGCTATGTGATGATATAGCTAATTTTAGACACTGACTCCATGGAAATTAAATTCAAGGTTTTCTCATTCCTAAAATGAGAAGTAGCAGCAAATTCAGTAATATATGTTTTATTTTATTTTATCTAAGATAAAACAAGAATAAAAAGCTTAACTTCATTAGAAAGGATATTGATACTTATGCTTATAAAATCATTATTCAAATAATAAGGATTATTATTCAATCAACTTCATAATTATGCAGACTTTGGAATGGCAGCATGGAGAGAGTTTCATAGACCTAGTCTTCAGTGAAAGATATTTAACTGTTCAAATTTTTTTTTTTTTTTTTTTGTGGAGAACTACTGTATTTTGCTTTAATATTCCACACATTTATATGCACTTTCTCTTGTAATCATCAAATAACTCTAAAAAGAGGCAGGCACTATTATTTTACCCAATTTTACACACAACAAACCTGACATTTAAAGATATTTAAATAGCATTATTATTATTATTATTATTATTATTTGAGATGGAGTCTTGTTATGTCACCCAGGCTGGAGTACAATGGCACACTCTCAGCTCACTGCAACCTCCGTCTTCTGGGTTTTAGCTATTCTTTCACCTTAGCTTCCAGACTAGCTAGGATTACAGGCACATGCCACCACACCTGGCTAATTTTTGTATTTTTAGTAGAGACAGGGTTTCACCATGTTTGCCAGGCTGGTCTTGAACACTTGTCCTCAGGCTATCCAACAACCTTGGCCTCCTAAAGTGCTGGGATTACAGGATCAACCACCGCACCCAGCCTAAACAGCCTAATTATATCCAACTACTAATACATGGTATAGGCATTCAAGATCAAGAAGCCTAATCTGTAAGCCTGTATTATTATTATTATTATTATTTGAGACTGAGACTTGCTTGATTATTTTTTACATTTGCTGAGGAGTTTCTTACTTCCAATTAATGATCAATTTTAGAATAAGTGCTATGTGGTGCTGAGAAGAATGTATATTCTGTTGATTTTGGGGTGGAGAGTTCTATAGATGTATATTAGGTCCAGTTGGTCCAGAGCTGAGTTCAAGTCCTGAATATCCTTGTTAATTTTCTGTCTCATTGATCTGTCTAATGTTGACAGTGGGATGTTAAAGTCTCCCATTATTATTGTGTGGGAGTCTAAGTCTCTTTGTAGATCTCTAAGAACTTGCTTTATGAATCTGGATGCTCCTGTATTGGGTACATATATACTTAGGATAGTTAGCTCTTCTTGTTGAATTGGTACCTTTACCATTACAAAATGGCCTTCTTTGTCTCTTTTGATCTTTGTTGGTTTAAAGTCTGTTTTAGCAGAGACCAGGATTGCAACCTTTGTTTTTTTTTTTTTTGTTTTTTTTTTTTTGCTTTACCTTTGCTTGGTAGATCTTCCTCCATCCTTTATTTTGAGCCTATATGTGTCTTTGCATGTGAGATGGGTCTCCTGAATGCAGCACACTGATGGGTCTTGACTCTTTATCCAATTTACCAGTCTGTGTTTTTAATTGGGGCATTTAGCCCATTTACATTTAAGGCTAATATTGTTATGTGTGAATTTGAACCTGTCATTATAATGCTAGATGGTTATTTTGCCCATTAATTGATGCAGTTTCTTTATAGCATCGATGGTCTTTACAATTTGGCATGTTTTTGCAGTGGCTGGTACTGGTTTTTCCTTTCCATGTTTAGTGCTTCCTTCAGGAACTCTTGTAAGGCAGGCCTGGTGGTGACAAAAATCTCTCAGCATTTGCTTGTCTGTAAAGTACTTTATTTCTCCTTCACTTATGAAGCTTAGTTTGGCTGGACATGAAATTCTGGGTTGAAAATTCTTTTCTTTAAGAATGTTAAATATTGGCCCCTACTCTCTTCTGGCTTGCAGGGTTTCTGCTGAGAGATCTGCTGTTAGTCTGATAGGCTTCCCTTTGTAGGTAACCTGACCTTTCTCTCTGGCTGCCCTTAACATTTTTTCCTTCATTTCAACCTTGGTATATCTGACAATTGTGTGTCTTGGGGTTGCTCTTCCTGAGGAGTATCTTTGTGGTGTTATCTGTATTTCCTGAATTTGAATGTTGTCCTTTCTTGCTAGGTTGGGGAAGTTCTCCTGGATAACATCCTGAAGAGTGTTTTCTAACTTGGTTCCATTCTTCCTGTCACTTTCAGGTCCACCAGTCAAACATAGATTTGGTCTTTTCAAGTAGTCCCATATTTCTTGGAGGCTTTGTTCATTTCTTTTCACTCTTTTTCTCTAATCTTGGCTTCTCACTTTATTTCACTAATTTGATCTTCAATGACTGATATCCTTTCTTTGACTTTATTGAATCAGCTATGGAAGCTTGTGTATGCTTCACGGAGTTCTTGCACTGTGGTTTTCAGCTCCATGAGGTAATTTAAGCTCTTCTCTACACTGGTTATTCTAGTTAGCCATTTATCTAACCTTTTTTCAAGGTTTTTAGCTTCCTTGCGATGGGTTAGAACATGCTCTTTTAGCACAGTAAAGTTTGTTATTACTGACCTTCTAAAGCCTACTTCTGTCAATTTGTCAAACTCATTCTCCATCCAGTTTTGTTCCCTTGATGGCAAGAAGTTGTGTTCCTTTCAAGGAGAAGAGGCATTCTGGTTTTGGAATTTTCAGCCTTTCTGCTCTGGTTTCTCTCCATCTTTTGGTTTTATCTACCTTTGGTCTTTGATGCTGGTGACCTATGGATGGAGTTTTGGTATGACTTTGATTTTTGTTGATGTTGATGCTATTCCTTTCAGTTTGTTAGTTTTCCTTCTAACAGTCAGGACCCTCAGCTGCAGATCTGTTGGAGTTTGCCTGGGTATCACCAGCGGAGGCTGAAGAAGAGCAAATATTGCTGCCTGATCCTTCCTCTGGAAGCTTCATCCCAGAGGGGCACCTTCCTGTATGAGGTGTCTGTTGGCCCCTACTGGGAGGTGTCTCGCAGTCAGGCTACATGATGTTACAGGACCCACTTGAGGAAGCAGTCTGTCCATTATCAGAGCTCAAACACCATGCTGGGAGAATCACTGCTCTCTTCAGAGGTGTCAGGCAGGGACATTTAAGTCTGCAGAAGCCGTCTGATGCCTTTTGTTCTGATATGTCCTGCCCCCAGAGGTGGAATCTAGGGAGGCAGTACAACTTGCTGAGCTGTAGTGAGCTCCACCCAGTTCGAGCTTCCCTGCCCCTTTTGTTTACACTGGGAGCATAGAACCTCCTATTCAAGCCTCAGCAATTGTGGACACCACCCCCCCTCCCCCACCAATCTTCAGCATCCCAGGTTGATCTCAGACTGCTGCATTAGCAGTGGGCAAGGCTCTGTGGGCATGGGACCCACTGAGCCAGGAACGGGAGGGAATCTCCTGGTCTGTTGGTTGCAAAGACCATGGGAAAAGCACAGTATTTAGACAGGAGTGTACTATTCCTCCCAGTATAGTCTTTCATGGCTTCCCTTGGCTAGGAGAGGAAAATCTTCCAACCCCTTTCACTTCCCGGGTGAGGCAATGCCCCACCCTGCTTTGGTTTGCCCTCTGTGGGCTGCACCCACTGTCCAACCAGTCCCAATGAGATGAACCAGGTACCTCAGTTGGAAATGCAGAAATCACCCATCTTCTGTGTTGATCTCACTGGGAGCTGTAGACGGGAGCTCTTCCTATTTGGCCATCTTAGAAGCAACTCCAAATTTATTTTTTAACAAATTAAAATCTTCAGTACTTTTCCTAAATGTATGCAGCAAATAAATAAATATGTACTCAAGAAAATCTACAAAAACTCAAAAGGAAAAACAAGCATTGTATCAATTAAAACAGCCTACTGCATCCTTTTCCTTTCCAGCTTAGCAAACTAGAAAAGCCAATACAAGCAGCTACAATGAACAGCATAATACATCCTCTTCTCTCAGCTCAGCATTGATAGACATACTATTTCCCTGGGAATTGTATTTTATGCATATATTGCCACCTAAGTGTAGCCAAAATTTAGCAGTCCATGTAGCCAAAATTTAGTAGGCAAATTTTAGTAGCCAAAATTTACTAGCATGCTAATAAATGGGGTGCTAATAACGACTCCAGGAACTGGTTTTTTGAAAAGATCAACAAAACTGATAGACAGCTAGCAAGACTAATAAAGAAGAAAACAGGGAAGAATCAAATAGATGCAATAAAAAATGATAAAGGGGATATCACCACCAATCCCCCAGAAATACAAACTAATATCAGAGAATACTATAAACACCTCTACACAAATAAACTAGGAAATCTAGAAGAAATGGAGAAATTCCTGGACATATACACCCTCCCAAGACTAAACCAAGAAGAAGTTGAATCCCTGAATAGACCAATAATACACTCTGAAATTGAGGCAATAATTAATAGCCTACCAACCAAAAAAAGCCAAGAACCAGATAGATTCATAGCCAAATTCTACCAGTGGTACAAAGAGGAGCTGATACCATTCCTTCTGAAACTATTCCAATCAATACAAAAAGAGTGAATCCTCTCTAACTCATTTTATGAGGCCAACATCATCCTGATACCAACGCCTGGCAAAGACACAACAATAAAAGAGAATTTTAGACCAATATCCCTGATGAACATCAATCCAAAAATCCTCAACAAAATACTGGCAAACCAAATCCAGCAGCATATCAAAAAGCTTATCCACCAGGTTCAAGTTGGCTTCATACTTGGGATGCAAGGCTGCTTCAACATACACAAATGAATAAATGTAATCCATCATATAAACAGAAACAAAGACAAAAACTACATGATTATCTCAATAGATGCAGAAAAGGCCTTTGACAAAATCCAACAGCCCTTCATGCTAAAAACTCTCAATAAACTAGGTATTGATGGAACATAACTCAAAATAATAAGGGCTATTTATGACAAACCCACAAACAATATCATACTGAATGGTCAAAAATTGGAAGCATTCCCTTTGGAAACTGGCACAAGACAGGGATGCCCTCTCTCACCACTCCTATTCAACATAGTGTTGGAAGTTCTGGCCAGGGCAATCAGGCAAGAGAAAGAAATAAAGTGTATTCAATTAGGAAAAGAGGAAGTCAAGTTGTCCCTGTTTGCAGATGACATGATTGTATATTTAGGAAACCCCACTGTCTCAGTCCAAAATCTCCTTAAGCTGCTAAGCAACTTCAGCAAAGTCTCAGGATACAAAATCAATGTGCAAAAATCAAAAGCATTCCTATACATCAATAACAGATGAACAGACAGCCAAATCATGAGTGAACTCCCATTCACAACTGCTTCAAAGAGAATAAAATACCTCGGAATCCCACTTACAAGGGATGCAAACAACCTCTTCACTGATAACTACACACCACTGCTCAGTGAAATAAAAGAGGACACAAACAAATAGAAGATCATTCCATGCTCATGGATAGGAAGAATCAATATCGTGAAAATGGCCATACTGCCCAAGGCAATTTATAGATTCAATTCCATCCCCATCAGGCTACCAATGACTTTCTTCACAGAATTGGAAAAATTCCTTTAAAGTTCATATGGAACCAAAAAAGAGCCCGCATTGCCAAGACAATCCTAAACCAAAAGAACAAAGCTGGAGACATCACACTACCTGACTTCAAACTATACTACAAGGCTACAGTAACCAAAACAGCAGGGTACTGATACCAAAGCACAGATATAGACAAATGGAACAGAACAGAGCCCTCAGAAATAATACCACACATCTACAACCATCTGATCTTTGACAAACCTGACAAAAACAAGAAATGGGGAAAGGATTCCCTATTTAATAAGTGGTGCTGGGAAAACTGGCTAGCCATATGTAGAAAGCTGAAACTGGATCCCTTCCTTACACCTTGTACAAAAATTAATTAAAGATGGATTAAAGACTTAAATGTTAGACCTAAAACCATAAAAACCCTAGAAGAAAACCTAGGCAATACCATTCAGGGCATAGGCATGGGCAAGGACTTCATGTCTAAAACACCAAAAGCAATGGCTCCAAAAGCCAAAATAGACAAATGGAATTTAATTAAACTAAAGAGCTTCTGTACAGGAAAACAAACTACCATCAGAGTGAACAGGCAACCTACAGAATGGGAGAAAATTTTTGCAATCTACCCATCTGACAGAGGGTTAATATCCAGAATCTACAAAGAACTTAAATTTACAAGAGAAAATCAAACAACCCCATCAAAAAGTGGTCAAAGGATATGAACAGACACTTCTCAAAAGAAGACATATATGCAGACAACAGACACATGAAAAAATGCTCATCATCACCAATGCAAATCAAAACCACAATGAGATATCATCTCACACCAGTTAGAATGGTGATCATTAAAAAGTCATGTCTGTAAATATTACCAGTCACTGATGCTAAGCAGACAATTGACTTACTAGAAGTAAATATATCTGAAATAAGTAAAACTCTTATCTTTTCCCTATTTCTTTTTCTTCCTTCCCCTTTCCTTCCTTCCTTTCTCCTCCCCACTCTCTCTTTTTCTCTCTCATCATATTTCAAAATAAGTACACTATTTCTATTAAAATATAATTTTAGATATGGTCTAACCTTGCTTTCAACCATGAATTCCTAAAAATTCATCATTACATTATTATAGCAATTATTCATATGGCTTCTTATGAAACCAATGGAGAGAAATTTCAAAATTAATTGTTGTTTATAATTTTAAATCTCATACTTCTTATTTTTCATACTCAATTGAGATCTTCTCTGTCATTTTCTTACTGTGTTGGAATCTAAAAACAGTTTACCCTCCAAAGCAATTTACAACAGCACGGATGAGCAGTTCCTGATCTGACAGGCTTGTTGTATATTATACCTATTTATTTGCAAAGAGGCATGAGTGGTTCATTATTCATGAAATCATAATAAAAAATATATTTATGGCATGTCACACTGTACCTCATATTGAAGTATTCACTCCCAGAAAAGCACTAGATTCTGTGTTTCTTCCTGTTAGCAGCTTATGATCTAAAACAATTCTTTAAGCCACAAGGGAGAACTAAGCTCAACACTTTATATAAAAGATGTGCACTACATAAGATACAGCAAGAAGAAAAAATGCCAAACTGTCAACACTCCTTCAGTTTATAAGAAGCTCAGCCTCATGTGTGATGTGGATGATTACTTGGGAGGTTCAGAGGCACTACTACATAGATTATGAATTAGTGTTGTGTTCGATTAAAATAAACTCTAATTTTTCAAATATGGTATGTGAAAATAGCTACCATCCCAAAAGTTATTCATATCCTAATATGCAGAATTGGTGAGTGTTACCTGATAAAGGAAACAAAAAATAATTATTGCCTAGATTATTCATGCGGGTTCAAAATATAATCACAGATGTCCTCATAAAGGGAGCCATATAATTTTTTTATAATTATATACATCTAAGGTGTACAACATGATGTTTTGATGTCATATATATAGCAAAATAATTACACTAGAGCCAATTAAGATATTCATCATTTCACACAGTTGCTTTCTTGTGTGTCTGTTAAGAGCCCCTAAAATCTACTGTTTTCACAAGTTTTCAGTATGCCATTCAATATTAAAGTAGTCCTTAAATATCTGCAGGGCTTATTCCAGGATGCTCCCCTGCAACCCATGAAGATCAAAATACTCAGGTGCTCAAGTTCCTTACATAAAATGTAGTATTTGCATATAGCCTACATACATCCTCCTCTATACTTTGAATTACATGTGATTACAGGCATCTTCTTGGTAGAATAATTTATTTCCCTTTGGGTATATACCCAGTAATAGGATTGTGGGGTCAAGTGGTAATTTTATTTTTAGGTTGTTGAGAAATCCCCAAACTACTTTCCAAAGTAGCTGACTAATGTAAAATCCTACCAACAATATATAAGCATTCCCTTTTACCTGCAACCTCGCCAACATCTGTTATTTTTGACTTTTTGATAATTATTCTGACTTGTGTGAGATAGTATCTCATCGTCGTTTTAATTTGAATCCCAATTTGCATGTTTGCATATGTTTGTTGGCCACTTGCATATCTTCTTTTGAGAACTGTCTATGTTCCTGGCTCCCTTTTTAATTTTTTTTTCTTTGTTTTATTTATTATACTTTAAGTTCTGGGATACATGTGCTGAACGTGAAGGTTTGTTACATAGGTATACACATGTCATGGTGGTTTGCTGCACCCATCAACCCGTCATTCACATTAGGTATTTCTCCTAATGCTATCTCCTTCCTCTAGCCCCCACTCCCAACAGATCCCAGTGTGTGATGTTCCCCTCCCTGTGTCCATGTGTTCTTACTGTTCAACTCCCACTTATGAGTGCAAACATGCAGTGTTTGGTTTTCTGTTCCTCTGTTAGTCTGCTGAGAATGATGTTTCCAGCTTCATCCATGTCACTGCAAAGAACATGAGCTCATCCTTTTTATGGCTGCATAGTATTCCGTGGTGTATATGCACCACATTTTCTTTATCCAGTCTATCACTGATGGGCATTTGGGTTGGTTCCAAGTCTTTGCTATTGCAAACAGTGCTGCAATAAACGTACGTGTGCATGTGTCTTTATAGTAGAATGATTTATAATCCTTTTGGTATATACCCAGTAATAGGATTGCTGGTCAAATGGTATTTCTGGTTCTGGATCCCTGAGGAATCTCCACACTGTCTTCCACAATGGTTGAACTAATTTACACTCCCACCAACAGTGTAAAAGTGTTTTTATTTCTCCACATCCTCTCCAGCATCTGCTGTTTCCTGAGTTTTTAATGATGGCCATTCTAACTGGCGTGAGATGGTATCTCATTGCTGTTTTGATTTGCATTTTTCTAATGACCAGTAATGATGAGCTTTTCCTCATATGTTTGTTGGCCACATAAATGTCTCCTTTTGAGAAGTGCCTGTTCATATCCTTCACCCACTTTTTGATGAGGTTGTTTGTTTTTTTCTTGTAAATTTGTTTAAGTTTCTTGTAGATTCTGGATATTAGCCCTTTGTCAGATGGATAAATTGCAAAAATTTTCTCTCATTCTGTAGGCTGCCTGTTCACTCTGATGATAGTTTCTTTTGCTGTGCAGAATCTCTTTAGTTTAATTAGATCCCTTTTGTCAACTTTGGCTTTTGTTGCCATTGCTTTTGGTGTTTTAGTCATGAACTCTTTGCCCATGCTTATGTCCTGAATGGTATTGTCTAGGTTTTCTTCTAGGGTTTTTATGGTTTTAGGTGTTATGTTTAAGTCTTTAATCCATCTTGAGTTAATTTTTGTATAAGGTGTAAGGAAAGGGTCCAGTTTCAGTTTTCTGCATATGGTTAGCCAGTTTTCCCAACACCATTCATTAAATAGGGGATCCTTACCCCATTGCTTGTTTTTGTCAGGTTTGTCAAAGGTCAGAAGATTGTAGATGTGTGGCATTATTTCTGAGGCCTCTGTTCTGTTCCATTGGTCTCTATATCTGTTTTGCTACCAGTGCCTTGTTGTTTTGGTTACTGTAGTCTTGTAGTGTATTTTGAAGTCAGGTAGCATGATGCCTCCAGCTTTGTTCAATTTGCTGAGGATTTTCTTGGCTATATGGGCTCTTTATTGCTTCCACGTGAAATTTAAAGTAGTTTTCTCTAATTCTGTGGAGAAAGTCAGTGGTACCTCGGGATAGCATTGAATCTATAAATTACTTTGGGCAGTCTGGCCATTTTCACAATATTGATTCTTCCTATCTAACCGCATGGAATTATATTCCATTTGTTTGTGTCCTCTCTTAGTTCCTTGAGCAGTGGTTTGTAGTTCTCCTTGAAGAGGTTTTTCACATCCCTTGTAATTGTATTCCTAGGTATTTTATTCTCTTTGTAGCAATTGTGAATGGGAGTTCACTCACGATTTGGCTGTCTGTGTATTATTAGTGTATAGGAATTCTTGAATTTTTGCACATCAATTTTGTATCCTGAGTCTTTGCTGGAGTTCCTTATCAGCTTAAGGAGATTTTGGGCTGAGCTGATGGGGTTTTCTAAATATACAATCATGTCATCTGCAAACAGAAACAATTTGACTTCCTCTCTTCCTATTTGAATATGCTTTATTTCTTTGGCCTGATTTCCCTGGCCAGAACTTCCAATACTATGTTGAATAGGAGTGATGACAGAGGGATTCCTTGTCTTGGTTTTCAAAGGGAATGCTTGCAGCTTTTGCCTATTCAGTATGATATTGGCTGTGGGTTTGTCATAAATAGCTTTTATTATTTTGAGATACGTTCCATCATTACCTAGTTTATTGAGAGTTTTAGCATGAAGTGGTGTTTAATTTTATTGAAGGTCTTTTCTGCATCTATTGAGATAATCATGTGGTTTTTGTCGTTGGTTCTGTTTATGTGATGGATTACTTTTATTGTTTTGCATATGTTGAACCAGGCTTCCATCCCAAGGATGAAGCCCACTTGATTGTGGCGTATAATGTTTTTGATATGCTACTGGATTCGATTTGCCAGTATTTTATTGAGAATGTTCACTTCGATGTTCATCAGGGATATTGACCTGAAATGTTCCTTTTTTTGTTGTGTTTCTGCTGGGTTTTGGTATCAGGATGATTCTGGCCTCATAAAATGAATTAGGGAGGAGTCACTCTTTTTCTTTTGCTTGTAATAGTTTCAGAAGGAATGGTACCAGCTCCTCAATGTACTTCTGGTAGAATTTGGCTGTGAATCTGTCTGGTCCTGGGCTCATTTTGGTTAGTTAGCTGTTAATTACTGCCTCAACTACAGAACTTGTTATTGGTCTATTCAGAGATTTGACTTCTTCCTGGATTAATCTTGGGAGGGTGTATGTGTCCAGGAATTTATCAATTTCTTCTACATTTTCTAGTTTATTTGTGTAGAGGTGTTTATTTGTGTAGAGTATTCTCTGATGGCAATTTGTATTTCTGTGGGATCAGTGGTGATATCCCCTTTATCATTTTTTATTGCATCTATTTGATTCTTCTCTCTTTTCTTCTTTATTAGTCTGGCTAGTGGTCTATTTTGTTGATCTTTTTTAAAAAACAGCCCCTGGATTTATTCATTTTTTCCAAGGATTTTTTGTGTCTCTATCTCCTTCAGTTCTGCCCTGATCTTAGTTATTTCTTGTCGTCTGCTAACTTTTGAATTTGTTTGCTCCTTCTTCTCTAATTCTTTTAATTGTGATTTTAGGTGTTGATTTCAGATATTTCCCAGTTTTTCTTGTAGGCATTTAGTGTTATAAATTTCCCTCTACAAACTGCTTTAGCTTTGTCCCAGAGATTCTGGTACATTGTGTCTTTGTTCTCATTGGTTTCAAAGAACTTATTTATTTCTGACTTAATTTCATTATTTACCCAGTAGTCATCCAGGAGCAGTTTGTTCAGTTTCCATGTAGCTGTGCAGTTGAGTGAATTTCTTAATCCTGAGTTCTAATTTGATTGCACTGTGGTCTGAGAGACTGTTTGTTATGATTTCTGTTCTTTTGCATATGCTGAGGAGTGTTTTATTTTGAATTATGTGGTCAATTTTAGAATATGTGCTATGTGGTGCTAAGAAAAATGTATATTCTGTTGATTTGAGGTGGAGAGTTTTGTAGATGTCTACTACGTTGGCTTGGTCCAGAGCTGAGTTCAAGTCCTGGATATCTTTGTTAATTTTCTGTTTTGTTGATCTGTCTAATATTGACAGTGGGGTATTAAAATCTCCCACTATTATTGTGTGGGAGTCTAAATCTCTTTGTAGGTTACTAAGAACTTGCATTATGAATCTGGGTGCTCTGGTATTGGGTGCATATATATTTAGGATAGTTAGCTCTTCTTGTTGCATTGATCCTTTTACCATTATGTAATGCCCTTCTTTGTCTTTTTTTATCTTTCTTGGTTTGAAGTCTTTTATCTGAGACTAGAATTACAACTCCTGCTTTTTTTTGCTTTCCGTTTGCTTGGTAAATCTTCCTCCATCCCTTTATTTTGAGCCTATGTGTGCTTTTGCACATGAGATGGGTCTCTTGATTACAGCATACCAGTGGGTCTTTACTTTTTACCCAATTTGTCATTCTGTGTCTTTTAATTGGGGCATTTAGCCCATTTATATTTAAGACTAATATGGTCATGTATAAATTTGATCCTGTCCTTATGATGCTAGCTGGTTATTTTTCCCATTAGTTGATGCAGTTTCTTCATAGTGTCAATCGTCTTTACAATTTGGTATGTTTTTGCAGTGGCTGCTACCGGCTTTTCTTTTCAATATTTAGTGCTTCCTCCAGGAGCTCTTGTAAGGCAGGCCTGGTGGTGACAAAATCTCTCAGCATTTGCTTGTCTCTACAGGTTTTATTTTTCCTTCTCTTATGAAGTCTTGTTTGGCTGCATATGAAATTCTGGGTTGAAAATTCTTTTCTTTAAGAATGTTGAATATTGGTCCCCACTCTCTCCTGGCTTGTAGGATTCCCACAGAGAGATCTGGTGTTAGTCTGATGGACTTCCCTTTGTGGGTAACCTGACCTTTCTCTCTGGCTGCCCTGTACATTTTTTTCCTTCATTTCAACCTTGGTGAATCTGAAGATTATGTGTCTTGGGGTTGCTCTTCTCGGGGAGTATCTTTGTGGTGGTGTCTGTATTTCTTGAATTTGAATGTTGGCCTGTCTTGCTAGGTTGGGGAAGTTCTCCTGAATAATATCCTGAAGAGTGTGTTTTCCAACTGGGTTCCATTCTCCACATCACTTTCAGGTACACCAATCAAATGTAGGTTTGGTCTTTTCACATAGTCCCATATTTCTTTGAGGCTTTGTTTGTTTCTTTTCATTCTTTTTTTTTCTTCTAATCTTCTCTTCTCACTGTATTTCATTAATTTGATCTTCAGTCTCTGATATCCTTTCTTCCTATTGATCAATTTGTATATTGATACTTGTTCAAGCTTCACGATCTTCTAGTGGTATGTTTTTTGGCTCCATCGGGTCATTTATGTTCTTCTCTAAACTGGTTATTCTAGTTAGCAATTTTTCTAACCTTTTTTCAAGGTTCTTAGCTTCCTTGCTTTAGGTTAGAACATGATCCTTTAGCTCAGAGGAGTTTTTATTACACACCACTGAAGCCTACTTCTGTCAGTTCGTCAAACTCATTCTCCATCTAGTTTTGTTCCCTTACTGGTGAAAAGTTATGATCCTTTGGAGGAAAAGAGGGTTTCTGGCTTTTGGAATTTCCAGCCTTTTAATCTCATGGCTTTATCTACTTTCTGTCTTTGATGTTGGTGACCTTCGGATGGGGTTTTTGTGTGGAAGTCATTTTTGTTGATGTTGATGCCATTCCTTTCTGTTTGTCAGTTTTCCTTCTAACGGTCAGGCCCCTCTGACGCAGGTCTGCTGGAGTTTGCTGGGGGTCTACTTCAGACCCTTTTGCCTGCGTATTACCAGCGGAGACTGCAGAACAGCAAAGATTGTATCTTGTTCCTTCCTCTGGAAGCTTCAACCCAGAGGGGGCACCTGCCAGATGCCAGCCGGAGCTCTCCTACATGAGGTGTCTGTCAACCCCTGCTGGGAGGTGTCTTCCAGTCAGGAGGCACGGGAGTCAGGAATCCACTTGAGGAGGCAGTCTGTCCCTTAGCAGAGCTCGAACGCTGTGCTGGGAGATCCACTGCTCTCTTCTGAGCCTGCAGGCAGGAACGTTTAAGTCTGCTGAAGTTGCACCCACAGCCGACCTTCACCCAGGTGCTCTGTCCCAGGGAGTTGGGAGTTTTATCTATAAGCCCCTGACTGGGGCTGCTGCCTTTCTTTCAGAGATACCCTGCCCAGAGAGGAGAAATCCAGAGAGGCAGTCTGGCTACTGTGGCTTTGCTGCACTGCGGTGGGCTCTGTCCAGTTTGAACTTCCTGGCAGCTTTGTTTATGCTGTGAGGGGAAAACCACCTACTCAAGCCTCAGTAATGGTGGACGCCGCCCCCTCCCCCCGCCCCCCCCACCTCCCAACAAGCTCGAGCGTCCCAGGTCGACTTCAGACTGTGCTGGCAGTGAGAATTTCAAGGTAGTGGATTTTAGCTTGCTGAGCTCTGTGGTGATGGGATCCACTGCACTAGACCACTCGGCTCCCTTGCTTCAGCCCCCTTTCCAGGGGAGTGAATGTTTCTGTCTCGCTGGCATTTCAGGCACCTCTGGGCTATGTGCTTTAGATATCACACTACTGGGTATGAGACACTACCTCAGTGTCTGCCAAAATGGCTGCCCAGTTTTGTGTTTGAAACCCAGGGCCCTGGTGGTGTAGGCACCTAAGGGAATCTCCTGGTCTGCCAGTTGCAAAGACAATGGGAAAAACATAGCATCTGGGCTGGAATGCCCTGTGCCTCACGGCACGGTCCCTCATGGCTGCACTTGGCTAGGGGAGGCAGTTCCTTGGCCCCTTGTGCTTGTCAGTCAATGTTTTGCAAAATGATGTATAAATTCAAAGCAATCTTGATAGAAATCCAAGCAGTCTTTTTAGTAGAAACTGACAGGTATATTTTAAAATGTATATTGAAATGGAAATTGCCTAGTATAATGAAAATAACTTTTAAATATAAGTCCTTTATTTCAAAATTTTGTTAATGTACATTTACACAACAACGTATCATTGGCATAAAGTTAGGCAAAGAGATAAAAAAAATAAGCCATGAATATGTGGTCTATTGTTTTTGGCAAATGTTAGAGTAATTCTGTAGGAAAAGGACAATCATTTCAAGAAAGGATGCAGAAAAATGTTGTGCATGTGCAAAATAAATTGATAAATTCCTCACAAAATGTATAAAATTAGCTCAAAAACATAGTTGTAAATAAAATAGAAAAATAATGTTAAACTTCTAGAAAAGAACATAGGAAAATATATTTATAGACTTTCATTAGAAGACATTTATTGTAAATAAGGACATAAAATGACAATATCATTAGTTATAAAGAAATGCAATTTAAGAAAAATCAAATGCCACTACGAACATATGTGCAGGTCTAAAAATAAAGAGACTTGCTACATCAAATGTTGGCAATGGAACAAATGGAACTCTCATATCCTTGAGAGACTACAAAAGGGCAATGCAACTTTGGAGAAATTTGGCAGCTTTCTTAAAAGTAAATGTACACCTACCATTTTGATCCAGTTATTCTACTAATAGCTACTTCCCCAAAATATATGAAAGCATATATCCACACAAAGATTATATAAAAAAAAGTTTACTTGGTAGTATTTGTAATAGCCACATCCTGAAAACAAACTGGGTGTTCATTGATGATTTTTAAAGTGTTATATCCATATAATGTAATGCTACTTACCAACTAAAAGGAATAACCTTTTGATAGACGTGATGTGAATGAATCTCAAAATTTTAATGCTCATTGAAAGAAGCCAGAACAATAATAACAAAAAAGAAAACATACTGCAGAATCCCATTTGTAAAAAGTTCAGAATATGCAACTATTCTAGAATGACAGAAAGCAGATCAGTGGTTGTCTGGGAATGGGCAGATGAAGGAGGAAGTTGAAAGGTGGGACTCCAAATGGCAGAAGAAACTTGGAGGTGATGTGTTATGTTAGTTATCTTAATCATGGTGATAATGGCTTTAGGGCTGCATACCGATATCAAAATATATTAAATTGTATACTCTAAACATCTGCAGTTTATTGCATGTCAACTATACCTCAATAAATCTGTTTTATAAAAGGAATTGTGAAAATATTGTTTCTTAGTCCCAGTGCTGCATTCCTATGCTCAATGGCTAATTGACTTGTGTAGTGCAGATATAAAACATATCCTTCAACCCAAAAAGTTTTATTGGAAAGTGCAGCTTTAGATATTGTTGTTATAGAGAACCCTCCATCATAACCTTACATTCATGTCTATGATGAACATTTTCATTTTTTCCTGCTTATTCTGTCTAGTTTCCTTGGCCATGCATTGATCTGACCATACTAAACCTCTCATGTATCAACTCAATGACACATTCTCCTGAATACTCCCTTTTTACTCGTCCTTCCCCTCTTCTGTCTTGAATTCCATGTTCCATCATTCTAATTAATAAATTGAAAAAATTTTCAATTCTCTTGCTCTTCCTTTATGTTATTAGCCCAGGAAATCATCAACACTTGTTAAATCCATTTCTTTTTCCAAATATATATCTGAGAATCACAAAGAGTTTGGAAACATACACACACACACACTAATACACAGACACACACACAGACGTACATAAACACAAACACACATACAAATGCAATGGTTGTTTTCATTTTAAATTCATGAACACTTAAATTACTGGATCTTTAGGGCTACTCTGCAATTCTACTACTTTTTCTGTGTCAGTTCAAGTTCCCTGTCTCATAAGCTATTATTTTATCTCTTCTTCTCCTAAACTTTCCAATACTTTCTTCTTCCTTTTCACTCTCAGTTGAGTACTTGACTTCCTACCTCACTGAAACTATGAAAAAAATCAAATAAAACAATATATAAATATTTCTATCATAAAATCTACCATTCTACACTTTATATTCTCTCTTCTTTTACCTTAGCAGAAACATCTGCCTGCTTATTTAGGACAACCATCCTCTCTTTCCATTTGAAAAATAATCTACTCCCATTGTGTACACTCAAGGATATTACTTCTGGAGTTTCCCAGAGACTTTCAAGTTATTTTTCAAAATAATTTTTGCCTCATATGTTTATTTTATAAATTAGCCATAGGGTAAGATGCAGCTCTATTGGAGTTATATGCATTTTATTTATAATGCTGGCTTTCTCCTCAAACAGTAAATTATCATTTTATTCATATATTTTATCAAGAACTAAAACCAAATACAAAAGTCATTTACAAGACAGCTTTACGTTTTTTCTTTTTTTGAAATTTTCTTTAGAGACAAGGTCTTGCTGTCTCATCCAGGCTAGAGTGCAGTGGCACAATCATGGCTCACTGCAGCCTTGACCTCCCAGGCTCAAGCAGTCCTCCCACCTCAGCCTCCTGAGTAGCAGAGACCACAGGCAGGCCCCATCACAACTGACAGATATTTTTATGTTACTTTTGTAAAGAACGGGTCTCTGTAGGTTGCCCAGGCTGGCCTCGAACTAATGGGCTCAACAAATTCTCCCGCCTAGGCCTCCCAAAGTGCTGTGGTTACAGGAGTGAGCCACTGCACTCAGCCACAACATTTAGATTTTGTTTTTTAATTGGATAAGAGACATCTGACCTATATATTTTTGAAAACCACATGTACATCTTTTTATAAATTTCACTTTCTGATCTATGAAGAGTAGATGTTCCATGAGGTTTTAGAGCTGATTTTCTGCTACAAATTAAAATTAGAAACAAAACTGGGTTTTGTTTCCGTTAACCCTAAGAAATGCCAATAATAAATATATTTCAGAGCTCTGAAATTTAGAAAGTACATTGATCTTAAATAATCTATTGACTTTTATTAGGTAATGAGAATTTTTTGTGTTTGCTTTGAGTCCAGAAAATACAGTGGTACTCCTTTGTTTAATTCTTCTAATTTAAACTTTTTCATCTATTTCATTTCAAAATTAGCTTTATTTTCCATCTTAAGCTCTTTCCAAATTACGACTCTGTTGTACTGACACTTTTATTATATAATTTAAGCTATATTATAGACCTTCTCATTCCAGACATAATGCAGTAGTACATAACACCTTTTTCTTCCCACTATGATGTATTTTAAAAAATAATTTTTAAAAAATGTTATTATGAAATGATTCTGAAAGGTGGACAGGAGAACTTGCTACAATCCTTGGAGACAACCTAGCTGGTTGCCTGGAGGTGGTTTTCTTTTGTTGCTTTTTTCTCCTATATGCCCTAGCCTGGGTGTTACAACAACTCTGAACTGCAAACAGGTGTAGATTTTCTAAAAATAAAATTGAAATTTTAAGAAAATCTTAATCACTCTATTCAAATACCAGTAAAAGGATACTTTCTAAGGCTGGAATTATTTGACTCTACCTCTTCTATCTACGCAAATTGCACAAAAGCATGTATGCACCTATCCATTCTTGTAAGTGCTGAGAAAATTGTGGAAAAGTGTGCTGTGTGCAATCACCACCTTCTACTGAGAAAATCAAAGAACAAGAAGCACTGCTCCATTCTCTGAGAGATACAGCCAGGGAAGATACCCTGAAGTCAAGTATCCCTGCCCTTTACTAACCACCAGGGCTGTGACTACAGAGATGATGGGGTGGAGCTCTGCAGACCATGGCTCCTCTGCACTACGCAAAAGACAGCAAAGAGGTGGAAACCCCCTGGGCAGGACTAGAGTGATGAGAAAATTATAAAGAGGGAGCTGGAGAAAAAGATTTTTGAAACCCTTATATAAAGTCCTGGGCAGACTCTTCTGTGACCTCTGTGTGAAATCATTTAGAATAAACAGCAAATTTTTTTTGGGAACTGAACATTGTAGAATGCCACCCACGTTTCAGATTGGCCTTTGAACGGTACATTCAGAGCTGACCAGAAAAGTACTGTAAAGACTGAAAACTAAATGAACATTCTAGCTACGGTCCAAACTTGGGTCAAGATGTGCAGTCTGACATTAAATGAATTGGCTGCTAATATAACTAGGTGAAAGGTACACAGAACTCTACAATTATTGCAACTACTATGGGAGCCTAAAATTATTTCAAATAAAAGGTATACAAATTAAACTGAACAGTATGTAGAATTTTGTAATAAATGTCAGAAATGATTGATTATTAATGGCTATGATGAGGTGAGCTTGACAATGAAGTTAATATTTAACGTTATTGGTAAATGTTGAGGCTAATATCTGAGCTAAGGGACAGAGTCACAGGTCCGCTTCCAGAGACATGAGAGCTTGATTTGATTTTGAAATGGTGATACTATCTGCGTAAGAAAATCTGTCGTTTTAAACTTTATACTTGCCAGTATTCTTCCTCCACCTTTGGGTAACAAATTTGGGATATTACACCTTTCCTGTTTTGGACAGTTTTAGTGACACTTAGCATTGACTTGCTCTGCCTTCCAAAACAACTAATGACTCACTCTTGTTTGGGAATTTGCCTCTCATGTTGGTGAGGCTAGAAGAAAAAAACAGGTGACACTGACCCACTGTAATGCAGAAATGCTTACGACATTATCCATGAAGTCCTGCTACCAACTACCTAAAATTGCTTTGATTTCTGCACTTTCCAAAGTCTGTTTCTACTGATTTTGTTCCAATCCTTTTTATTCTTCTTATACTTTTGTCAGATTCAGTTTCTTTTGCTTATTGACAAACATCAAACATCAAAATATAAAATTGTTATAAGTGTCAATTGTATATTTTGGTGGAAATACTCAAAACACAGATGGAAACAGGTCAGGACCTAAAGAAAGCACTTTGACTTTGTGTGGAAATACAGATTTGAGAATCATATCAACCGAGTAAGTGAGATTTCTGATAAAAGATAAAGGGTACAAAACAAAATTTTGGAAAATGCCCAAGATATAAGTACTTGATAAATTATTTAAGTCAAGCAACTTAATGCCTAACCAAAGCATTTAATGTTCTTTGTGTCAGCAGCAGAATTAACCTTAGATTTTATTCAGACCGAATAGTCCTCTGGAATTATAGATTTTCTTTAACTTATTTTGACTAAAAAGATATATACATACCCAAATAAAAGCAGGTGAAAGAAAAGCCTGATCCTGAACATACATGCCATCTGGTTCCCCAGACTTTAGAGACTACATGCACATGTTCTCTATTTTGTTCCTTATTAAAAAAAAAAAGTGGTGTATGCCTTATGTAGACACGCAATATGCATTTTTGGTTGTCTCCATTTGAATGTTCTTTTATTTTTATGGCATATTAAAACAAAACAAGCATAATAACTGCCCAACAGAAATCAAAATATCCCAGAAAAGGTCAGTGGAGAAATAAATAATATTCTCAATATGTAAGTTAATTTTAAATTGCAATTTGCAGTGTAAATCTCTTTACCAATTATACTGTTCTGTTTCTCTTCTTCAAAATTTTGCTTTGCACTTACAAAGCTTCAACAAATCTAAGTCAATCTAGGCAAAATATGATACCAATCTCTATTTTGAAAACGCAATTTAAATCCCATTATTTTTGTTGCAGACTGCTAAAATGCCATGATATAAAGAATCTTAGTAATTATTTAAGATTGTCATATTGTATTTTAGGAACATTCTGTAAAATACAGTCTAAATCAAATAGATCTGTTGATCTTTTTTAGTTCTCATTAGTTATTACAAGATTTTGACTTTGAGCCATTTTCATTATTTTTTGCCCCAGTACATTAAAAAATATTTCTTCTCTAATTTGTTCTCACTTATCCTTGACATGGTTTCACATATTACTATTATGATTTGCCATCAGTGACAGATACCTTAATCACTTTCAATTATATTTAATATAATACCATTCTATAATGTGGAGTTCTTGAAGTATTTAATACAGCATCATTCAGCTAAGTTAAATACCCTAAAGTAACATTAATTATTTGATTTAAACCTACAGAACAAAGACAGATGAAGTTTAGAGTAAGAATTGTAGCTCTGCTATTTACTCATGTCTTTAAATAAGACAGGGAAAATGGCTTTGAGAGAAAGAGAGGATGAGAATATGAGAATAGAGGAAGAAGAAAAGATAAAAGTATCAGCACAAGGACATCTTGTGCCATAAAAAGCAGAGAACTTGCCCATATTTTCTATTTTAATTATGAATTACTTTGGAATTACTTTGATTTTATTATTTTAAGACAGAGTCTTAATGAATATGAATATTTAGCATTTATATAGCCTTTCTATCTTCCAAGCACTTAGCTAATTAATCTTTAAAACACCCTTGTGAGAAGGATAAGTATTATTATACCTATTTGACACATAAAGGAACAGATTCACACAGAGAGGTTAAGTGCTACAGATTCTATTTAGCAAGCAATAAAACGGCAATATGAAGATGAGAAATCCCAAATATAGTGAGCTCACACTTACATTACTTAGCAAGTATCTTTTAATTTTTCATATCAAGTCAACAACTACTTATCCTATACTGATATAGCAAGAATGGTACTGGTAATAGGCAATGATAAGCCGTTCTTGCTTGGGGTACTGAATAAAAGATGATGGCTTATTAGTAAGAGTGGAGTCATTTAGATATTAGGAAAAACTCCAAAGTCAGTACTTTTTTCTCTCCTTCCTTCTTACTCATACCAACTGAAGGGAATTCAGCACCATATTTTGAAAACTAAAATCTCTGACTTGGATTTTTGTTCCCATCCCTCCAGACATAATATATAATTTTGCCTGCCAAGGGCACTCTTTTATCTTTATTTTCTTGGTTTCACTATTTGTTCTCCAAATCCATGATGCTTGTATCTGTTCAGGTGACAGAACTTCTAAAAATCATAATGTATTTACAAATAACTACAATGTATTGATTATCATTTTAATTTCATCCTTCAAACTCGAAACTGTATTACTTTTTAAAAACCTCAATTCTTTATGTAGGCAACTAAAAATGAAAAGAAGCCTTTAAAATAAAGAATATATCAATTCATCATGACTGTTTACTTTTGGGTTTTCTTGGAACTCATTTTCTTCTAGTAAAATGCCAGCACTTCCTTGCAGACAAGTAATAGCATTCATCAATTGTTTTAAAAACATTTAAGAAAAACAGTAAAATTAGCATAATGGTTGAAACTATGACTTGCTTGGTGATACAATTTTGCTACTAATCCTATTATAAATTTTAAGTGTATAGGAGTACAGTCCTCCTCATAGAATATATCTGTTCCACTGGATAAAAACTTTATTATGAAGTTTTCCACTAAGTGGAAAACACAGAAACAAACATGAAGGTACAATTCTCCTAAGAATAATTTTTTTTTTGATTGTTTAACTTTATTCCGTCTTTCTTTCCATCTTTCTTTCATTACACTCTGGTAACTTGAGACATAAAACATTTTTGCTTATACTATTTCTTTCCTTCTTTTCAGTTTCTTGCAATCTGTTTTTCACTTTGTCCACTGAAAAATACCTCTCAGAGTAGCAATAACTTTATCACAAATTCAATGTCCTTCTCATTATTCTCAAATTCCTTGCAGCATTCACTACTATCTGATACAAAATCTTTTTAAGCTTCCTTTCATTTCACATTGACTATCAGTCACCAAGTTCTGCTCTTCCTATTTCCATACTGGATAAATATCTTCTTTCAGAGCTCAAGAGTTCAGTTCTATTTCAAATATCAATTTACGTTGATTGAACTCTGAAATTGGCATCTTAACTGACCTAGCCTCCAGTTTGCCTTCACAGTGTCTTAAAAACTCACCCTCTCCCACACCTGAAGACTATATAACTTAGTGGTTAAGACTTCAAGCTGTGGTTATATTCCCTGATTTGAATCCTTTTGCCTCATATGCTAAGTCTTAAAATATGAGCCAATTATTTAAAGTCTCCTTCCTTTGATTTCCTCAACTGAAAACATCGATGCATGTGAAAATCTTTATAAAACCTGTAACAGTCATATTTAGAACTAAATGGATAATTACCTATATTGTTTTGACAAGCTAATCTTTCTGAAACATAGGCCTAAACATGCTCATTTTATTCATTCGAATTTTTCAAATAGTGTTGTTTCTTTTAGTTGTTTGGTTGGTTGTGATGTGTTTTGGTTTAGTATTTTAGGTCCTTCTTTCTTAGTTTATTATTTTATCACCTACCACAACTCCAAATAGAAACATTGTCACTTACTCAATATAATTCTAACTTTCCTATCCCTGTGTATTTTTTTTCTTGATTTTACTTTTGCCTTTTGGCCCTTTTTTCAATTTCTGTATCTCAACAAACCTTCATTGTTTTCTAGAATGCAGAAAAGAATGTTATATTCTCCATGAAGTTTCCCCTGGACCAAGGCAAAACGTATTTCTGCATTGACTGTATTTCCTTATAATTTTTTGTTACTCCTATTATGTCACTCCTTCCAATTAAAAGTTAGGTCTTTGAGGACATATACATTGTTTATTGAACTTATATTCTCTATATTGTTTTCTAATCAATACCAGGCACATAATAGTTGCTATATTTTTGTTATATTAATTAAAATTGTATACTTCATTCTACTATAGAGTTATAAACAACCCAACATTAACTCATTAAAGGATATTTTCAGCCTAGAATTGAGATATTAATGGTTACAACAAAAAGAGAAAAAAAATACTAGAAAAGGTAATATGTTGTATTGTATTTCTCTGTTTCTCTAAATGTTTAATCCTTTGAATCACATTATAAATGACATTATTTTGGTGATTTTTGCTGGGCACATAAAAATACCATAATTATAGCTTATTTTTCTACTATTAAATTGAGAAAATGAAAATAACATTTGGTTCTATGTAAAGTTATCTGTCTATGAATAAAAATGGCTGAGGAACACATAAATATTGTTCCCAAAGCCAATCAAATGATTTTATTTATCATTTAAAAAAATTGTACATTAGCTTTTCTCTCAAGTGTAAATTAGTTCTGGATCATAGAGAGGTAAAAAAATGAATAGTCCCATTTAGTAAGACCTGATTAAATTCCCAAGGAAGCAAATTCAATAGAGTCAATTTTCTTCGAAGTTAAGGTTATTTGTAAGAATAAATTTTTTTCTGATACATTTTACATTTTTAATTTTAAATGTAAATTACATTTAAGCAAGTAATACATGTACACTGTATAATTAATTATGTAAAATATATAATAGAGAATTATATATTTATCTGAAAATTGATAAAAATCACTCAGTATCCACCAACATATTTAACCACTATAATCATATTATTATTTATACTCTTTGATGGTTTACACAATTAGAATTATACATACCACGTCAATGTACTTTATATCCCTACATCAATATATTCTTTGACATTTTTTATCCTGAAAATGCAGTATAGGTATAATTTGAGAATCAAATTTCTGTAAGTTTACTAGATTAAATATCATATCAACCTTTAGTTACTTTGATTATTTATCATTGTATATCACATCTAAATAGGTTTTTGTCTCTTAAAACATAATTAAATATAAAAGATTAAAATAGCAGCATTTTGATTGAGGAGAATTTAGAACAGGTTACGGAAAATTAGGTCAGGGAAAAGAGTTTAAGTGTAAAGTTATGGATAAATTCAATGTACAAAGTATATGCCAATAGATCTTGGACAACTTGCTAGAGATGGGTTATAGATTTGACTCCTGAATTCTTAACAGTAGAGGAAAATATTATCAGATAAAACTCCCACAGTGTTTCTAAGATTTTAGTCAGGGCGCAGTGGCTAACACATGTAGTAATCCAAGCACTTTGCGAGGCTGAGGAGGGCATATCACCTGAGGTCAGGAGTTCAAGATCAGCCTGGCCAACATGGTGAAACCCTGTCTCTACTAACAATACAAAAATAAGCTGGGAGTGGTGGCGCATGCCTGCAACCCCAGCTACTCAGGAGGCTGAGGCAGGAGAATCACGTGAACCTGGGAGGCGGATTTTGCAGTGAGCCAATATTGCGTCATTGCACTCCAGCCTGAGCGACAGAGTGAAACTCCGTCTCAAAAAAAAAAAAAAAAACAAAAAAAAAAAGGATTTTAAAAAGCATATAGAAAAAAATACAGGAGAATAATTCCATAATCTCAAATAGGAGAAGATATATTAAACAGTCCCCAAAAATCATTAAAAAATTCAAAAGTTTAACATGATCAATTTTTTAAAAATTCTAATTAAGATATTAATACAAATATGAATAGGCAAACAATAAACTAGGGATAATCCTTGTAGCACACGTCTGATGAAGAAATTCTTTCTAAAATATGTGATGAACTCTTACAAATCAGCAATAAGAATACATAGAACCAGCCAGGAGCGGTGGCTCATGTCTGTAATCCCAGAACTTTGGGAGGCCAAGGCGGGTAGATCACTTGAAATCATGAGTTGGATACCAGACTGTCCAACATGACGAAACCCCATACGTACTAAAAATAGAAAAATTAGCTGGGTGTGGTGGCGGGCGCCTGTAATCCCACCTACTCGGGAGGCTGAGGTAGGAGAATCGCTTGAACCCGGGAGACAGAGGGTGCAGTGAGCCGAGATCGCGATCGCTCCATTGCACTCCAGCCTGAGTGACAGAGCAACACTATTTCTCAAAAAAAAAAAAATAATAAAAAAATAGAACTTACTTAAAATGGGCAAAACAAGAAAATAAATCAATGGGTAGTAAACACATTAAAAGTTGCCCAAAATCAGTGTGAGAAAATATAAATTAAATCCTCAGTGAGACACCAATTTTATGTTCACTAGGATGGTTAAAAAGCTAAAGTGCCCAACTCAAAGGGCTTTCCCATAACTTAAGGGGTAAATAGTTAATGAGTAAAGTACACAGGAACATCTCTCAGCGGTAGAAAATAGCCTTAGAATAAAAATTGTTCTGATTCTACCTAACAAATCTTAAAAGCAAAAGCTAGAAATATCAAACTATTTCTAAGTAACTTAACATTTTCCTAGAAAGCTCAAGAATAATTATAGGATTACAAGATAAACAGCATCTAATTGTAAATTCACAATGATAAATATTCAATACAACGTTAACAACCTTGGAAGTCAGCAGAAGAACAATTCAGGATCTAGCATTATTTATGGCAGTGGTGATGGGTGGGTGGGGACAAGGAGCACTTTTACAACTTCCTCAATGACTTACAAAATTCATGTTTTGTGTAGATATTCTCAACCTTCTCAGATTTTAGTAAATTATGTTCCTTCAAGTTTGTAAATATGTTGCCATAGAGTTGTGAAAAGTGGCATAATTATTTAACAATTTATTTTAAAAAGTGTTTTCTCTCTGAATCAGACACAATTCCTTTGGCTCACCTAGGTCCAAGAACCTTGATCATTTGTTTGGTTCAGCTAGTAGAGTGGTTTACTTCACTGCCATTCACAACCCACCAGTGCAGAATTTCATCACTGTGCCTCTAACTTCCCAACACCCACCTAAGGGTTTCCCAGCTGATGAGTCCTGGAACACCAAGGGCTTGCTCTGTGTCTATAAATGGGCCCTGCCACTTCCTCTCCAGTGAATTTTCCTGAGTTGAAGTAGTAAAAGGGACTCCCCAGAAGAAGCTCTCACAAAATCCAGCAAACAGTTATTGATTCCAAGTGATAAGCATCTCCTTAACAAATTGTCTTATTTTTTCTCCTTTCTTTTTTGCCTTACTTTTCATCATTTCTTATTCTCTGGAATTACACTTCCTATAAAAATGTGACATAAGTATTTGCTTCAGATTGGCTTCATTGGGATTCCAGGCCAGGATGCTCTCTTGCACTCATTTTGTTTATGTTGTTTCCTTTTCTTTCATATGGTATTTATTCCTCTTTATCTTTAATTGTATTCATAGAGCATTTAATCTTGTGCTAATCTTTTACAAAAAACAGGTCTTAAATTATTAATTTTATTGTAGTTTAGTTTTCTAATTCAACTGCTTCTTTATTGATGTTGTACTGGGTTCATTTTGTTTTTGTTTATAACTCTTTGAACAGCAAACATCATTTATTTTCTTTTTTTTTTGGTAATGAAACAAGTACGTAATGCTGTGAATTTATTTTGGTCCTGCTTTAGTTACATCACATAGGTTTTGATATCAAATTTTAAATGAACGTAGTTTTCAAAAAAATTTATACATTTCTTCTACAAGCCACAATTATGTCTGAAATTGTTATTTATTATTTTAAATCAATTATTCCTATTAATTCCTGGTTTTAGATGGTAAAGCTTCTGTTTTCTGATTTTATTGTTTTTTTAAGTTCTCTTTTACTGTGATCAGAGAAGTTTACTTGTAAAAATTATTATAATTATTCCATTGGAATTTATCAAGGTTTTACTGAGTCTTAATATGTGATCACTTTTCCCCTAGAGTAGATTTCTTTTCTTCTTTTTATGATAGAGAATTTGTTATACATTCCTTAGGTCTATCTAATTATGACTTTTTATATTATTTGTTTTCTTTAAAATATATTGAGATTTAAGTGTCCTGTAATTATTGTGTTTCTATTTATCTTTGGAAGTTCTGATTTATGAAAACTTCTGCCAATATATTTGGTGCATTTGTAATTACGGTATCATAATTATTATATTGTCTTTGAGAAATATAACTTTCAGCATTATAAAGTTCATGAATTGCCTCATTTAATGGTATTAGACCTAAATCCTCTCTTGCAATTTCTACTTTTGTCTGTTTACACTTGCTTATATAACTTTTCTAACTTTTCATTTTTTAACTGTTCTAATTTACTAGATTTTGGGTGTACCTTTTGTATGGAGGAGAACATTGGTATTGTCTATGTAACACATTCTAAAACTCTTTTTTATAAATGGGTGAATTAAGGTAATTTGTATTTTTTAAAGTTGAATATATTTGGACTTTATTAATTTTATATTACTGTTTTAATATTTGCTACCAACTCACTGGCTTAAAATGACAAAATCTTTTTACATTTTGGAATTCAGAAATTCAAAATCAATCTCAGTGAGCTAAAATCAAGGTTTTGGCATATTTAAAAATTTCTTGAATGGACTATGTCTTTGCTGTTTTAAAATTGCAGTTCTTACAGTATTCAAGCATGTTTGCATTTGGTTTTAGTGCTTATATTTGTAATTAAACTTATGTAATTCTCTTATTTTGTGTCTCAACATCACGCCTATTTTATTCCTTTTCTAAATTCTCATTTTCCTCTTCTCCATCACTTCATTTTCACCGACAAGATTAAGCTTCTTAGGGTTTACCTCATTCTATTTTATGTACTTATATTTCACTACGTAACTTATTAACTTTAAATACTAACTTATTTTTCTACAGCAAATACTGAGCTGACTGGGTTTCCTAACTTAACTTCTCTTTTCATTTTATTGTGACTGTTTCGTTTCTCCATTGCAAGGTTAGCCTCACCTTTGCTTTTTGTCTCAGATCTGCAATTAAAAGCTTTTCACTGCTAGTCCTTTGCTTAAGTTTTCTGAATAATATGTTTATAAGCTGTGGCTTAGCCTATATTAGTTTTCCCAAGAACAAGACTTATAACAATATTTTATGTGCTTGTATGTGTTTAGAACTACTTGTTATCTTTAGAGTTGAAAGATATAGGGATATAAAAATCCATGGCTCACTCTTCATGTTTTCATGTAGATTTTGCTTTTTTCCCAGTTATTTGGTATTTATTCAATATTTAACTTCCTATCTAATTTTACTTCAGGAAAGTTTTCCTTGGATCATCATTTAAAGCAGGGGTCAGAAAACTATGACCCACAGGCAAATCCAGCCTATTGTAAAGTGGATTTCTCTGGAAAAGTTTCACTGGAGCCGAACCACACCATTTGTATATGTATTGGGCATGGCCATTTTCACACTACTGTGGAAGAATTCGGTAGTCATGAAAGGTATATTTGAGTTCTAACCAGAAAATATTTGCTGACCTCTTATTTGAAGTACAGTAGTCCCTCCATATTTATGGGACATGGGTTCCAGGACTTCCCACAGTTAACAAAATTCAGAATGGGCAAGTCCCTGATATTAAATGGCATGAAATTTGCATATAACCAATGCATATCCTCCCATCTACTTAAAATCATCTCTAGATTACTTATAGTACACAATACAATGAAAATGATATACAAACAGTTGTCCTGTTGCATCTTTTATTTGTATTTTTTCTATTATTATACTGTTCTTTTTTTTCAAATATTTCAATCTATGGTTGGTTGAATCACAGATGCAGAAACCACGGATAGGGAGGGCCAACTGTATTTGTTCTGTTTCATGGTTTTGGAATATGTGGTAGATTGGCCTTTTGGCCCAAATATTTATACCTTGTTATACATGTGCCTGTGTAACATTAAAGTCTCTCCCATTAAGGTGAATTATATTTACAATATATGTGGAATATATTAAAAACATCTTATAACCAATTTAGCAATGTGATCTAATTAGCTTATTCTGTCCAGGTTTATCTTGATAAAATATAGGACTTTTATCATCTCCTACACATTATAATACTAAGAGAAATATAGCCATATATTCTGACATGTTTAAACAAATACTGTTAATCATACTGTTCATGAAGTACCGCCTCCTAGCAATGTCATATACAAGTTAGCAATGACTTTCAAACTTCAGTGGACATGAGATTCAACTGACGGAGATGATTTAAAAGGCATTGGTTAGACCCTAATCCTGCAGATTCTACCATAGAGACAAACTTCTTCAGAAATCTTCCCAAATACACATTTTTAGCAAGTACCACAGGTAATTCTGCTTCAGGTGGCTTTAGATATAAAATTTTCTGTAATGCTGAGTTAAAATAAAATGGCATTAAAATTTGTATTCTATTATTTAAATTGAGAAACAAGGTTTAGTTTCTGTAGTGTGTAAATATGTTAGATGATTATTTGAATAGTTTGTAATAATTCAGATTAGCCAGACATTTAAATAGATTAACTGAGCAACAATTACATAGTCTATTTATTTAGAAATCAGATTTATAACTGTTTAAACATAGATTTGAATAATTCTCTGAATACACATATTAATAATACACACACACACACACAAAAACAGACAAAAATAACTGAATCAGGTAAATGGATGCCTCAGTTTCCTCTTTAGGTTCATTTATTTTGCTTAATGTCAGGAATTCATTTGCCCTTATTTTGTAATGGTACACTGGTAATATAATTTGGATATGTGTCCTTGTCCAAATCGCATGTTGAATTGTAATCCCCAGCAGAATTGTATTCTCCCCATTGGAAATAGGACCCGGTGGGAGGTGACTGGGTCAAGGGGGTGAATGTCTCATGGATGGTTTAGGACCATCCCCTCAGTGCTGTCCTTGTAATAGTGAGTGACTTTTTGTGAGATATGGTTGTTTAAAAGTGTGGCAACTCATTCTCTCTCTCACTCCTGCTTTCACTACATAATGCCTGCTACCCCTTAGCCTTCCACCATGATTGTAATATTCAGCATCCCCAGAAGTCAAGCAGATGTCAGCACCATATTTCCTGTAAAGCTTGCAGAACCATGAGCCAATTAAACCTCTTTTCTTTATAAATTACCCAGCCTCAGGGATTTCCTTATAGCAATTCAAAAATGACCTCATACACCTGGTTTACTCAAGCCAAACAGACTAGGAGAAACTAACCAGAAGAAAATAGAATAAATTGTGTACAAGTGAGGTAAAAGCTTATAGGCCATGACTGAAAAGAAATCATTAAAAATGACCAAAAATGGTAAATAAATAAGTAAATATTTATTGATAGTTTTTTATATCAAGAGAAGCTTAATTTATATTCAATAGCCCATGTTTAAAGAGAAAGGACATCATTTAGCAAATGTATGAAAGAATCTCTTCAAAGATAATAAAAACTAAAAATAAGCAAAATATTAAAAGTATGTGTTTTAGCTGGAAAATTAACATATATGATACCTATCCTTACCAACAATTCCAGACATAGAGCTAATTAGCTTTTTCACTGAGCATGAAAAATATTTTGTTAAAGTTTTAAAGTCTGGCTGGAGCAATCCTAGAGAAAGCCTGCATTACATTAGGATGAACCTTTTTACCTGGTAAGGCAAATCTAGTGAAAATGGCTACGTAACTAAATAAATGTACTGAGGTGCAGTGCATTTGCCTTCAGAGTTTCATGGACTTCAATCTAGTTTTCTACCCTATAACTCATCTCTGTTTCAATTTTAGGATTTTCTAACTTTTAAAATAGAAACGTTCTTCCCAGAAACATAGTTAGATGTAAGAGGCAGGTAGGAGGGAGTCTGATTGGTAGGCAAAGTCAGTGATCTTGTTTGCCTGAGTTAACACCTAACAAAAGAACAATCTGTCATATAGTTGTGCTTTTATAAGTGCTATTCGAACATATCACCATTTAAAAATATAACCTTACAATTATTTAAAATGTGCCACCAGTGGAAAAGGTATTCATGTTCTTTCTCTTTCCACTAGCCATATTTCATCAACTACAGTTACACTCCTCATTGTCACATGAAGCTGAAAATAGTCTAATTTCCTTTTAAGTTAATTCTGTCATTGAAGACAAAACAAACAAATCAACTGTTACTTCCATGTGAAAGACTTCAATCTTGTTTTTATGAAATCTTTGTTCCTTTTTATTTCTATGTTCTCCATCATTACTTTCTTCAAACATTCCTTATGGTACATGATTTCCAGGCACCTAAAAAATATGCAAAGCATATTTTCTGTAGAACATTAGCTGGTTAGAATTTTAGTTGGGATTGTATGCTTGGAATTTGTCATAAATTTTGTGATATATTATGATCAGCAGCATTGTTTTCCATTGGGAGTGATTTACGCTTTATAAATACAGACTGATTTACTTTAATTATACATTTATTCTAGTTAGGTATTATTTTATTTCCAGCTGTATATAATATATATAAGAATTTGCATATATTATTTGTAATTTTATTTGATATATATGTATATATATGTATGTATAAAATTGTCACCCAGGATGAATTAAAAATCTGATTTCCTAAAGCTGATGATCCCTAAACAGTGCTAGTTTTTTCCAACCTAAATTTAGGACATTATATGTGATCCCAGTACATTTCACCTAATTGATTGGGTGTATTTGACATTCTAGTCAGATTTTTTTTCTTAATTTTAACTCCTTTATCTTTTAGTTTATGTACTCTCTTCTAATTTGTTGCCCTGCAATTTTTAAAAGTGTGTCTTTCTATTGCATATGCCACTGGTGAAATAAGGCTATAATGAGGACAAAGTCAGATCATGAAATTAAATATATATTTTAATTAAAGAGTTAAGTTTTAGTTTTCAGTGTACAAATAGTACACACACTGAAGTACAATTATATTTATTTAGGAAAATACTTTACAAAACAGTAGGTGAAGCAACAGAAGGATTCAAATAGGAATAGGGCACTATCACAAGTCTAAGCTTATAGGAAAGGAGAAGAGTAAGTGATATACAAGTAACTACAATTTCAGGCTGAGTAAAATAATTACCTTACAGGCAAGATTGTGAAACTTTTTTGAGTTTCAAAAGGAAATGAAATGTTATGTTTCTATTTGCTTTTCAGTAGATACCATGACAAGTAAAGCATAAAAATTGAACAACAGTCAAAGCCTAGGCAAAACATGGAGCTTACTTAAGTAACTAAACTAATTATGAATATTGCGAGGTATTAATTTACCCATTTACACTTATAAAACTAAGATTTCTGGGGCCATATTCTCATGAAATTTTCATTCAAAAGTAAGACATTTTACATGAGTTGGTTATAAGAGTGAAGAAACATTTTCAAAATGTAATTGAAGAATGTCTCATTGAGCAATTCAGTTCAGCAAATATTCAGATGGATATAAAGGTGAAAGATGAAACCAGTTAAGAATAATCTATTTGAGAACAGAGAGTACTGAAATAGAATAGAAATAATAGAAGTGAAAAAATGTGCTATATTTTGTAGATATTTGGGACATTAGATAGGAATTGCTAACATGAATGTTAATGTTTATGCATGAATTACATGTATCAGATTATCTTATTAGACCCTCCATTTATATGAGTTAATAGTCAATGTTAATATCTTAAAGTAATTTAAAGAGTTTTCTGTCTACATGGAATATAAATAAGAAAAACTGACAAATTTGTGATCATGTTTCTCCAAGTAATCTTTAGCAAAGGAATAATAAACTCTATTAACCAAACTTAGTTTAACTTTTCTTAAATAACTGACATGTAGGAAAATCTATTTCCAGTAATATATTGTAACTTGTTTATTTGTGTATACATACTAAAATAAACATTAAGTTAATTCTAAATGTAAAAATATATGTTTAGTCTGTTAGTTAAACATAGATTGATGCAGTTATTTTTCAATAAGTATTCATATCAATTTGTATCTAGCATTCTGCTGGCAATGACCACATGTCCTAGAAAAACTCGCTTTGATAAGTTTTTTAATATTTGAAGTAGATACTTATGAAGTATCATTAACTTGAAATTATAAAAGGGCTGTATTTAAAATTAAGGCCATAAAGTACATAATTTGACCTTCTGTAAAGATGATTTAAGACAGTGATCTCTGAAGTCACTCTTTCTGACTGCAAACTATGATTCAAAGAACCTTTGGTTCAATAATTTTTAGAGGTTATTGGGAACATTCCTAATCAAGACACACACACACACACACACACACACACACACACAGCAAAATGTAATAACAATTGATGAATAGAGGTGAAGGCTATATAGATTTTTATCATACTAATCTTTAAACTTTTCTGTAGGTCTAAAAATTTTCCAAAATAATTTAGAAGAAATAAAATATAAACATAATTATAAACATATAATCAAGGGATGTTGTGTTTCTCTAAAAATAGAGGTATTTTCATCACAAATTTATCATTGGAAGTCATAGCACTGAAAAGATATATCTATACATCTGCTGTGCTTTCTCTGTTTTTAATGCAATGTTTTTCAGAGTTTCTTAAATAAAAGTGATGTTTGATATATTTTTACCTTCACTAGAATTATAGGTAAGTAAAGATTTCATTTCCAGTATGATTTCAACTTTAGTAATGCTAAGTTTAAACTTCAGAAATCACTGGAGTAATTCATCTAATTGTAAATAAACTGAGAAAGACAAGCTATATAATGCCTACTATAAATTACTTTTATAAGGATCACTAGGTCCTAGAAAAGCAATAATGTTGCTACCATTAAAAAAAAACACATTTCTTTGGTAGAGAAGTTTTATATTTCTTAGGTAGTCATACTTTGTATAGTACTTCGTTAGTTAAACTTTGGTAGTCCTATTACTTGTTGCTGCCATTAGGAAAAGGCCACACATCATTTTCTTACAGTAATAAGAAAAATTAGTTAGAAAATAAAATGCTAATACACTTCTGATGTAAAAGAAACCAAATTATATGAAATCATGTTATAAATTTTATCAACTTATTTAAAAACATATTAACTAAAATATACAAGGTGTGTAGGCATATATATTTTCATATGTGTAATATTGTTTATTGGAATGCTAATAACTAGAGTCATTAGCGATTAAAATCATGTTTTACAGAAATTTACAGATCTGTGTGAAAAATGAATAGGCAATATAACTTTTAGATTTTTGAACATATTTTGTGTGTGTGTGTGTGTGTGTGTGTGTGTGTAATTATCTTTCGAGTAGCTCAAGTATTTTACATGTAGTCTCCATTATACATATTTACAAATTTTTCTGACTCAGATTTGATCTTTCCCAACACATATGCAAAACAAATAAAACTGTTTTTTTCACTTTGGTTATTTTGCCCGCTCAAAACAAACAGTATAAGACTAGATTCCTTTGCCTTCACCAATCTATGTTGATTCATTTGCTTATTCAGCTACTATGTTTCTAATAGCTTTCAACATAGCATATAACATATTAAAGGTAATAAAAATATAAAATAGTTATTACAAAATCAGCTCTATTTGATTTTATTCATAGAAAATACATGCAAAAAGAATGATACACTCTTTATAACAATAAAGATTTTTTCACATTTTAAAATCTCAGATATTGAGATTTTTGCAATCTTACAATCAATAGTCATTCAACTTATACTTTGAAATTTAATAGGTCATAAAATAATGGTGTATATTATTTTCCATAGCACTTTAGATTCAACAAAATCTAGTATCTCAGAAGAGAATGATATGAATAAAATAATATAATGTATTAAGGTGTTTAAAAGCAGTCTAATATAAGATGGACATTGGTATTTTTTAGATAATGGCCGGGATATTAAGACAAGTAAATTAAAAACAGAAAATGCTGTGTTTAGTTTATTAATGTATGCTTTAAGATCAGATATGGCTTTCTGGCTGACAGAACTGGACCCATTTTAGTGGACTTATATATGTAGTTTATATACCTTTAAAAATTAGAGTGCTACAAAATACATACTTTATAATTCTATCTGTATAAAATTGTAGGACAGGCAAATGTAATCTATAATGACAAAAAATCATGTATATACATGTATATCGTTTTATATAGTTCTGTCATTACACATTAAATTTGCCTGTTCTACAATTTTATGTAGTATATGTTGTATATATTATGGGGGTATGTAATATAATATATTACATATAAATTTATAAAATATATGCACAAATACGTTCATATATATATATATATATATATATATATATATTTTAAGATAGAAAGGAATTATATTGGTGGTTTCCTAGGGTGACAGTTGGAGTCAAGACTGATGGCAGATGGCAACTTTCTGGGGAAATAGAAATATTTCATATTTTGATGAAAGAGAGGTTTGCACAAGAGTATATATTGGGAAAAAGCATTAAGATTTAGAAACATATTAATGTTGTTGCATGTAAATTGTACCTCAATATTGTTAACTTTTAAAAGTGTGATATTATTCTAATTTCAATATTTAAAACTAAATATATCAGTTGAACTACGAAGTAATAAGTGAGTGAACATGTATTATTAGATGTCCAATAAGTGTCCAGTCCTATAGAGGAGGTGGTGATCTAAAGTAACTGTAAAAGATTGATGTCTTCATAAGGTTTTGAATTGGTTTGAATATAACACGAAATAATTAGACGATCACTATTGAAAACTGGATTGTGTGGTAGTAACTATGTATCCAACAACTATTAAGAGAAATATTATTCATGTTGATGTAAATTGTGAAGACTAAGGAATGTTCTTTAATAACCAGTGGAAATTTAAGGGATATTAAAAGAGGCATATTAACTGAATAGACTGAAATTATGGCCATTTGTAACAGGATGGTGAAATAGAGAATTGACTTTTAGGAAGCCCAAGTAAATAACAGCAAATAGGCCGGGCACGGTGGCTCACTCCTGTAATTCCAGCACTTTGGGAGGCCGAGGAGGGTGGATTACCTGAGGACAGGAGTTCAAAACCAGCCTGGCCAACATAGTGAAACCCAATCTCCATCTAAAATACAAAAAATTAGCCGGGTTTGATGATGGGCACCTGTTATCCCAGCTACTTGAGAGGTTGAGGCAGGAGAATCACTTGAACCCAGTAGGCGGAGGTTGCACTGAGTTGAGATAGCACCATTGCACTCCAGCCTGGGCAACAAGAAGGAAACTCTGTCTCAAAATAATAATAAATAATAATTAATAATAATAGCAAATAAACAAGAGCACATTGTGTTATACCTTGACAACCTACGAGATTTTCATTTGAGGGGATGTAATGAATTAGAAATCCTGAAATGGCTTCTCTTTGCAAAGCAGAAACATACTTTTAATGTATAGCTACAATTTGTAAAAAAATTAGCATAATCTCCAAGTGTCAAAAATAAGGAAAGAATGGCAAACCAAGTTGATTAGATAATGCATGTACTCTCAGGTTATTTACCAGTATCCACAGCCTAGAGTCCTGGGATTTAATGGCCAGAAGGGAAGCAAAAATAATCTTGGACTACTTAGGTGGTAATTAGGAATGAGACCTCTAAAAAAAGCCAGACCAGTACTCTCACAGGAGTACACAGTCAAAGAAAAAACAAGGATTAAAAAATTTTCTAAACAATACAAATAAAAATGATGATAATATAAAATAATATATTAAACTGAAGGTAGAGAGAAAAATGAGGAAGAAGAGAAAAAATGAGAAATGTATATGAAGAGGTGAAAGAAAGGAAGTAGAAAATTTATAAAGAGCAGCTCTTCTCTTTGTCAGGTTGTGATTCAAATTATAATAAATTCAGAATCCAGGAAACTCCTTTTTAAAAAATATCTTAATTTTTATTTTAAGCTCAGGGGTATATGTGCAGGTTTATTATACAGGTAAACTCATGACTTGGGAGTTTGGTATATAGATTATTTCATCACCAAGGTACTAATCATATTACCCAACAGTTTTTTTTTTTTTTTTCTGAACATCTCACTTCTCCGAACCTCCACCCCTAGGTTGGCCCCAGTGTCTGTCATTCCTCTCTTTCCGTGCGTGTGTTCTCATAATTTAGCTCCCACTTATAAGTGAGAACATGTAGTATTTGGTTTTCTGTTCTTGCGTTAGTTTGCTAAGGTTAATGGCCTCTAGATCCAACCATGTTCCTGCAGAAGACATGATCTTGTTCTTTTCATGGCTGCATAGTATTGCATGTGTATATGTACCACATTTTCTTTATCCAGTCTACCATTGATGGGCATTTAGGTTGATTCTGTGTGTTTGCTATTGTGAAAAGTGCTGCAATGAAGATATGCATGCATATGTCTTTATGGTAGCAGGGATTTATATTTCTTTGGATACACTCAGTAATGCGACTGCTGAGTTGAATGGTAGTTCTGTTTTTAGTACTTTGAGGAATGGCCACAAGACTTTCCACAATGTTTGAAGTAACTTACACTCCCACTAACAGTTCATAAGTGTTCCCTTTTTTTTTGCAACTTCTCCAGAATGTTATTTTTTAATTTTTTAATCATAGCCATTCTGAGAGGTGTGAGATGATATCTTATTGTGGTTTTGATTTGGATTTCTCTGATGATTTGTATAATAATATTGAGCATTTTTTTCATATGTTTGTTGGCTGCATGTTATGTTTTCTTTTGAAAAGGGTCTGTTTATGTCCTTTGCCCAGTTTCGAATGGGGTTGTTTGGTTTTTGCTTGTGAATTTTTAAGGTCCTTGTGAATTCTGGATATTAGACCTTTGTCAGATGTATAGTTCCCAAATATTTTCTCTCATTCCATAGGTTGCATATTTATGTGTTGATAGTTTATTTGTTGTACAGAAGCTCTTCAATTAGGTCCCATTTAACAATTTTGCTTTCGTTGCCATTGCTTTAGGCGTCTTCATCATGAAATTTTTGCCAGTTCTTATGTCAAAAATGTATGTCCAAGGTTATCTTCCAGGGTTTTTATAGTTTTAGGTTTTACATTTAGGTCTTTAATCCACCTTGAATTTATTTTTGTATGTGGTGTAATGAGAGGGTCCAGTTTCAATCTTCTGCGGATAGCTAACCAGTTATCTCAAAACCATTTATTAAATGAGGACTCCTTTTCCCATTGCTTGTTTTGTCAGCTTTGTCAAAGACCAAATTGTTGTCTGTTGCTTTTCTTTCTGGCTTCTCAATTCTGTTCCATTAGTCTATATGTTTGTTTTTGTACCAGTATCATCTTGTTTTGGTTAGTGTAGCCTTGTAATACAGTTTGAAGTCAGGCAATGTGATTCCTCCAGTTTTTTCCTTTTTGCTTAGGATTGCCTTGGCTATTCAGGCTCCTTTTTGTTTTCATATGAACTTTAGAATAGCTTTTCTTATTCTGTGACAAATGTCATTGGTGGTTTGATAGGAACAGCCCTGAATATGTACATTACTTTGGGACATAGGGCAAGTTTAACAATATTGATTCTTCCTATCCAAGAACATGGAATTTTCTTCTATTTGTCTGTGTCATCTCTGATTTCCTTGAGCTATGTTTTGTAATACTCATTGTGGAGATTTTTCTCTTCTCTGCTTAGCTGTATTCCTACATATTTTATTGTTTTTGTGGCAATTGCGAATGTGATTGCTTTCCTGATTTGACTCTCACCTTGCGTGCTGTTGCTGTATAGGAATGCTACTGATTTTTGTACATGGATTTTGTATCCAAAAATTTTACTGAAGTTGGTTGTCACCTCAAGGAGCTTTTGGGCAGTGACTATGGAGACTTCTAGCTAGTGAATAGTGTCATTTTCAAACAGGGATAGTTTGACTTTCTTTCTTCCTATTTGGATGCCTTTTATTTCTTTCCCTTACCTGATTGATCTGGCCAGAACTTCAAGTACTGTTAAATGGGATTGGTGATTGAGAGTATACTCACGCTCTCCAGTTTTAAATGCAAATGTGTCCAGCTTTTGCCCATTAAGTATGATGTTGGCAGTGGGTTTGTCATAGACTCCTCTTATTATGTGTTCCATCAATACCTAGTTTATTGAGTGTTTTTAACATGAAGGAGTGTTGAATTTTATTGAAAGCCTTTTCTACATCTGTTGAGATAATCATGAGGTTTTTTTAGTTCTGTTTATGTGATGAATTACATTTATTGATTTGCATATGTTGAGCCAACTTTGCATCCCAGAGATAAAGCCTATTTGATTGTGGTGGATTAGCTTTTTGATGTGCTGCTGAAGTCAGTTCTCTATTATTTTGTTGAAAATATTAGTCCATTTTTACACTGCTATAAAGAACTACCTGAGACTGGATAATTTATGAAGAAAAGAGGTTACATTGACTCATAGTTGAACATGGCTGGGGAGGTTTCATGTAACCTATGATCATTGTGGAAGGTAAAGGGGAAGCAAGTCACATCTTACATGATGGCAGGAGAGATCACGTGAAAGGGAAGTGCCACCCACTTTCAAACAATCAAATCTTGTGAGAACTCACTCACTATCATGAGAACAGAAAGGGGCAAATTTACCTTCATGATTTGATCATCTTCCACCATGATTCTCCCCTGACATGTAGGGACTACAGTCTGAGATGAGATTTGAGTGGGGACACAGGGCCAAACCATATCAATCTTTATCAGAGATATTGGTATAATGTTTTCTTTTTTCATTGTGTCTCTGCCAGGATTTGGTATTAGGAAAATGCTTGCCTCATAGAATGAGTTGAAGATGAGTCCCCGTTCCTCAATTTTTTGGAATATCTTCAGTAGGAATGGCACCAGGTCTTCTTTTTATATCTGGTAGAATTCAGGTATTAATTCATCTATTTCTGGGCATTTTGGGGAGGGGGTTGGTAGGCTATCTATTACTGATTTAATTTCAGAGCTCATTGTTGGTCTGTTCAGGAATTCAGTTTCCTCCTGGTTCAGTCTTGGGAAGGTGTATGTGTCCAGGAATTTATCCATTTCTTCTAGATTATCTAATTTGTTTGCATAGAAGTATTTCTGTGGGGTGAGTAGTAATGTTCCCTTTGTTGTTTCTGATTGTGTTTATTTGGATCTTCTTTCTTTTCTTCTTTATTAGTCTAGGTATTAGATTATCTTATTATTATTTTCAAATAACAAACTGCTGGATTTGTTGATACTTTATATTTTTTTTCATTCTTCTTAGAGAACTATAGAGACTTAGATTCCCACAATATAATAGTACAAGGCTTCAACATCACACTGACAGCATTAGATAGATCATCAAGGCAGAAAATTAATAAAGATATTCAAGAATTGAACTTAACACTTGACCAAATGGACTTGATAGACATTTACAGAACTCCCCATGCAAAAACAACAGAATATACATTCTTCTCATCACCACATGGTACATGCTCTAAAATTCACTGTGCAATCTGAAATAAGACAACCCTCAGCAAACTCAAAAAACCTAAAATCATAACAACCACACTCTTGTATTACGGTCCAATAAAAATAGAAATCAAAGCCAAGAAAATTGCTCAAAACCATGCAGTTACATGGAAATTAAAGAACCTGCTCCTGTACAACTCTTGGGTAAATAATAAAATTCAAGCAGAAATGAAATAGTTCTTTGAAACTTTTGAGAACAAAGACAAAATATGTCAGAATCTCTGAGGCATGGCTCAAGCAGTGTTAAGTTGGAAACTTATAGCACTAAATGCCTACGTTAAAAAGTTATAAAGATCTCAGATTACAACCTAATGTCACAACTAGAAGAACTAGAGAAGCAAGAGCAAACCAGCGCCAAAGCTAGCAGAACACAAGAAATAACCAAAATCAGAGCTGAACTGAAGGAGATAGAGACACACACAAAAAAGGAACCCCTTAAGACAAAATAATTTAATTAAATTGACCAAGGGAAGTTGGTGTAAATCGTTGGGCCTGTGGGTACACAGAAGACAAGAGTTGAGCTTTGGGAGTCTCCACCTAAATTTTAAAGGATATATGGAAAAGTCTGGAGGTGCAGGCAGAAGTCTGCTGCAGGGGCAGAGCCCTCACAGAGAACCTTTGCTAGGGCAGTGCAGAAGGGAAATGTGGGGTTGGAGCTCCCGTACAGTATCCACTGGGGCACTGCCTAGTGGAGCTGTGAAAAGAGGGCCACCATCCTCCAGACCACAGAAAGGTAGATCCACTGACAGCTTGCCCCATGCACCTGAAAAAGCCACAGACACTCAATGCCAGCCTGTAAAAGCAGCTACGGGGGGTGTACCCTGCAGAGCAACAGGCCTGGAGCTGCCCATGGTTTTGGGACCCCACCCTTTGAATTGGCATGCCCTGGATGTGAGACATGGAGTCAAAGGAGATTTTGGAGCTTTAAGATTTAATGACTGCCTTCCAGGGTTTTGGATTTGCATGGGGAACTATGGCCTTTTTATTTTGGCCAATTGACTTTTGGAATTGGGGATACTGAATGCTTGTATCCCCATTGTATTTTGGAAGTAACTAACTTGTTTTAGATTTCACAGGCTCATAGGCAAAAGGGACTTGCTTTGTCTCAGATGAGACTTTGGACTTGTACTTTTGGGTTAATTCTGGAATGAGTTAAGACTTTAAGGGACTGTTTGGAAGGCATGATTGGCTTTGAAATGTGAAACGAACATGAGATTTGGGAGTAACCAGGGGCAAAATAACATGATTTGTCTCTGTGTCCCCACCTAAATCCTATCTCTAGTTGTAATCCCCATGTGTGGAGGGAGGTTCTTGGTGGGAGGTAATTGGGTCATGGGGGCAGTTTCTGTCATGCTGTTTCTGTGATAGTGTATGAGTTCTCACCTGAACTAATGGTTTTAAAGTGTGGCACTTCCTTGTGCTCTCTCACTCTCTCCTGCTGCTTTGTGAAGAAGGTGCCTGCCTGCTTCCCCTTCACCTTCTACCATTATTGTAAGCTTCTTGAGGCCTCCCCAGCCATGTGGAACTGTGAGTCAATTAAACATCTTTTGTTTACAAGTTACCCAGTCTCAGAGGTAGTATCTTCATTGCAGTGTAAGAATGGACTAATACACTATGCAAAGCAAATTGTCAGGCATATTAATAATTAGAAAGTCATAACCAATTTAGTAAAACTACAAAATATCAAGAACAAAAGAGAATGTTAAAAATGAATCAGAGGAAAAAGAGAGATTGCCTTCAAAAGAATGATACATTGATGTCAGGTTTCACAATTACAGAAAAGGCCATTTGATGTGGAATTATCTTTAAAACTGTGACGGAAACTAACCATTGGTCTTGAATTGCATACCTTATAAGCTATCATTTGAGCACAAAGCCAAAGGAAAAACTTTGTTTTAAATATTACTCGTATATTTTGTAGCTGCATAGTGTTCTATTGTGTATATGTACCACATTTTCATTATCTAATCCACCATTGATGGGCACCTAGGTTGATGCCCTTTGCAGCAACATGAATGCAGCTGGAGGCTATAATCCTGAACAAATCAACACAAGAACAGAGAACCAAATAATGCATGCTCTCACATATAAGTGGAAGCTAAACAATGAGCACACGTGAACATAAACATGGGAACAACAGACTGTGGACTACCAGAGGGGGAAAATCCTATTAGAAATTCAAAACATGAGATTAAAACAATAATAAAAACATTTTGGACTTAAGAGTAATTAGGTAAGCAAAGCAGTATTTACAATTTAATTTTTGGCTTTATGTTGTGAATATTTTCCAGCCAAAGATTACAAGAAATTCACCACTGGTTGGCTTATTGACTGCAATAGGGAAACCTCATATAGGAGGAAATCTTGGGAGGTCTCAATAAGAGGGTATGAGAAGGCTTATTGTAAGATTTTGATTTGTGCTAGATGCTTTTGGAGAGACTTTAAGGAAGTAGTGCTTTACTATAGATTGAATGCTCTCAGGAAGTGAGGAGAATTCTGACTAGTTATGTTAATAATTTTATCTAGCAGGAAAGAGAAATGAATAGAGGGTAAAGCAGTGCCTGGTAAAGAAGCAACAGTCACTCATGCCACCCAGGAGAGGGGAGTGCTTGTTTTTTTTTGTGTGTGGCTTGAACACTATTGGTACTTCATCTGTGTTTCAGCATGGTTACAGAGTAGTCTGATTCCATCACATTCATAGAGTGGCTTTATCTGATGTTAGCGTTTTGTGAAATTTTTTTTAACAGGAGAACACCACAGTCTAGCTGATAGTACCAGGCCAGTTTCCTGCTGTCCAAAGTTGATTTTCTCTTTCTCAAAACCTTACACAGGAAAAAAGAAAGCCTGAAAATAATGAGCAATATAGCTATCTTATGAAACTAGAAAAATGGAAGCTATATATCTCTCTAGGGTATAAAATATAAATGTAACATAATCAACACTACTCAAGCAGAGTCGAAGGAAGAAAATTAAAAAGGGCTATAATGCATAATGGTTAAGAACTGAGAGTTGGAAGCCAGACTGTCTTAGTTCAAAGCAGTTTCTGCACTCTACTAAAGCAGTGACCTTGGGTGAATTTCTTAGCCTGAACACACTTTAGTTCCCCCTTATATCAATGAGGATAAACTCATGGTGGGGCTGTGAAAATTACATGAATAAATACTTGAAAAGTGCTTATCAAGTGCCTAGGTTATAATCAGCAATATGTGAGTAATTTCTATTATTAATGTAAGAGCAGAAATAACGTAAAACCAAAAAAGCTACAATTTATTTTTTATAGAAGACCAATAAGTATACAGTGAAATAATAATGTAATAGATGTACAGAATAATCTCTGGGGTGAAACTCCAAACAGGGTGTGCTACAAATGACACACTGATAGGTTAGAAATGGGGCCAGGTGCCTGTGGTGGCCACAGCTCGAGGGCCAGTCACCAACATCTATAAGAAGGCTCTCAGTTTACCCAGATTTAATGTTGTTTTTTTGGGGAGGGTAGAGGTTGCTGTCTTTTGAGGCAGAATCTTGCTCAGTCACCCAGGCTGGAGTGCAGTGGCATGATCTCGGTTCACTGCAAACTCCTCCTCTCGGATTCAAAAGATTCTCCTGCCTCAGTGTCCCAAATAACTGGAATTACAGGCACACACCACTACAACCAGAAAATTTTTGTATTTTTACTAGAGCTGGGTTTTTGCCATGTTAGCTAGGCTGGTCTTGGACTCCCAACCTCAGGTGATCTGCCAACCTCACAGAGTGCTGGGACCAGAGGTATAAGCCACCGCACCTGGCCAATGTTTAAACAATATAATTTCTATGTGCACAATGTTAAGAAATAATCAGCTGGGTGCAGTGGCTCATGCCTGTAATCCTAGCACTTTGGAAGGCTGAAGGGGGTGTATTGCCTGAGCTCAGGAGTTCAAGACCAGCCTGGGGAACATGGTGAAACCCTGTCTCTATTAAAAATACAAAAAATTAGCTGGGTGTGGTGGTGGGCACCTGTAATCCCAGCTATTACTCAGGAGGCTGAGACAGGAGAATCACTTGAACCTGGTAGGCGGAGGTTGCAGTGAGCTGAGATCACGCTATTGCACTCAACTCTCGGTGACAGAGTGCAACTCTGTCTCAAAAATTAAAAAAAAAGAAAAAGAAAAAGAAATAATCTTTGGGAAGCATTACCTAAATTAATCTTACATATTTTGTAAGAAAACATATACAAAAATATTCATAGTTAATCTGTTTGGAAACATTCTAAATGTCCATCAAAAGGACAATGGACACATCAGATTAAGTCATTTGAAACTGATGTTATACAACCTTTTTTTGACCTATGAAAAGAAAAATTTTGTGGGGCTCTAATGAATACATTTTGTTATATTTACTCAATAGAATACTATTTAGCTGTAAAATTGAACTGGAACTGCAGGTATCTGATGGAGTTTTAAAAATATATCAAGAAAAAAAGCAAATTGTAGAGAATCACATTTACTGTGATACTGTTCTATAAAGTCTTACAACATATGAAATAATATTTTTAAAAAATGTGTTCAGTGACAGAAGGTGGTGACACTGACTTAGATGATATCAGTCATTCATTCCCATATCTCTTTTTCCTTTTCAAACTCCTCTATGGCTATATATACTTGCATTCCCAATATTAAAGTAGAAAATGGCAGCAATATGATGCCATTGTGGAAAAGTGTAGTAAGGTGGACTCTGTTGAGGGTTTCCTGAGAAAAGTTTATTTTCCTAATAAAAGGTTAGGCATTGCTACTTGGATCTCTTTTGTCCTTCAGCTTGAAGGAAAATTGGTAAGTCGAGCTTGGACAGCTATATTGAAACTGAGGAGAGGTTCAGTATAGCTTCTAAACTAACATGGATAATCTACTAAAGAAATTACAGCGACAAATTATTTTCAGACATGTTATTATGAAAATATATCTCAATCTTGGCTACTTAAATTTTTGTTTGCTTGAAGCTAAAGATTTTCTTAACTTATGTGTTACTTAAATTCTTTAAGGCTCATTTGTTTATCAGTGCCATGGTTAAAATACCAGCACCTTCATAAGGGTTTCTGAAGATTAAATAAAACAAGGCACTGAACAGTCTTAGTTCAGTGTGTGGTATGTCATATCATCTTTACAAACATTATTTAATACAAGAAAACTAACTTTAAATAATGGACTGTGGAGAAGGTTGAGTAATCAATTAATGCATTTATGTATTGATGGTATTTAATGAATGTGAAATAAATGTTCATATGGGAGTTGAGAAGAAAAATCCTGAGAGGTAAAGGGAGGATTTAAATTTGATAATGTTTTTTTGACATCTCCTCTATTAGAGTATATGCTTCTTGATTCCAAAGTACACAGTTTACTCATGTTTTATTAACAATACTTGGGGCAAGGAAAGAGTTTAAAATATGTATGGAAAATTAAGAAGAGAGGACAAGAGAGGTTGTGTGACTTGACAGTACTAGCATAATACTTAGCTTCTTGTCCTAAAATATGCAAATTCTAATAAATGTTTTCAATTAAATGAATGTGAGAAGAATATTTTATACTTGATAAAATTATATGACCATGAAGTTTTCAAATTATTCCACTTTTAAAATATAATAACTAGGCAAATATTGCATTTATTGATAGATTAACTAGCAGTGATAGAAACATTTTTGCAGCCTATTGTTTGTATGTTTGTGTTGAGAAATTATATAAAAGAGTTTGCATTTTGAACAGAATATCTAAACATTGTCTAAGCCTTGGAAAATAGAAAGCTAATATCCTTACCCATTAATCTCTTCTGCTTTTTGAACAGATCTCTGTTTAAAAGAGAAATCACAACTTGAATTTTTCTTCCTTGTCAGTACACTCCAATCATCACACATGCTTTCCCCATTGTGAAATAAAGAATGCATGTACTCCAGTACAATCAAAGAGGAACGAAATTAGGCCAGCACCTATTCATACTTCAACTCTCTCTTTCAGAAAATGGAAAACTTTGTGAGATATAACACTGAATAGCAAGGCCAACAAATTTTAAGAGTCCATATATTACTGGAGGAAAGTATGAAAACCAAAATAGATATGCTACCTGTTATTCTATAAGATTATTTTCAAAGAAATGCAGAATGAATACATATTATTTAATTCTATAATGGCCACAATTCATCATATTTATAGACTTTCTGGAAAACTCTAATCAAGTTGATATGGTTTAAAAGTGCATTTTTTTCCACAGTAGGTCAAAAATGTAGAATTTGGATGTGACACAATATGTGCAAAATAGTTCTTAATGATCATGGGCAATTGCCCCAGAAGGGCAGTAATAGTACATAATTTTAGAATTTTGTGTGTCACGTACATTTTATGGATGGGACTTGATCAGATGGCACTGCATATCATTTTGAACAAATTAAGTATATGGCTCATTAGATCTCAATTAAAAAATGAAAATAATTCGGTACCATCAGTGAAAATGGTAGAAAGAGGATTTCTGAAAATTTTGTCCACCACAAAAGGGCAAAAAATTTTCAGATCAGACTTCTGTTAACTCTAAAAATGAACCAAAGGCTCACAGGACCAATAAAAATTTAGGCAAAAAAATGACTGAACTTCAGCAATAAGAGTGAATTTATGGTATTATTATTTACCTTTCTCCAACTCCTGGTCCTCAAATCTTCAGCTTCCTTGAAAAATAACAGCCCATATTCTTGGTACCAGAGAGAGTAAAATGGGGCTGGAGCTCTTTCCAAGCTGAATTCCCAAAGAATATTCATCATGTGACCTGTCTGTCATTCCCTGGTAGATCCCAATCAGAAGACTTATGCTTATTTGATCCAGTGCTAAAAGTTTCTGGGGATGGGGAGGCTGCTGGTTTGTCAAACATCTTAACATCAAAGCTGCCTGAGGCAATGGATAATAGTTGGAACAAACAATAGACTAAAAAAAATTGAAAAAAAGAGAAGCTGAGGCATTTAGATGTCCATAGGGGCTCTGAAAATTTGTGACATATTCCTGGAAATCTAGAGGTTACAATCATGCACATGCCTGGGAAGAACCTGAGATGACCCTAATCTTTTAACTCCAACTGAGCTTGAGGCTCTGAGAAAGTAAGAAGTAAAGAGTTAGGTAAAGATGTAAATTGTTTGTTTGAGTATTGAAGGCATGCCCAAATATGCACAGAGTCCTTCAGCAAAACTGAGGTGTATTAATTTCAGGCTTTTAGGGAAAAGTGTATCTAATCATTAGCTGGTCACTAAATTAACAAAATGCAGACTTCAGTGGCTACACATGACAAAGACACATAATTTACAAAATTAGTTCCAATAAGTCACTATACAAACAAAATATTTAAACAAGAAGAGAGATCTAAAATCAATCACTTAATATTTGACCCTAAGATGTTGGAAAAAGAAAAGCAAACTCAACCTAAACTGAGTACAAAGAAACAAATAATAAAGATTAGAGTGAAAGTGAAATTCGGAATAGGAAAACAACAGTGAAAATTATCGAAATCAAACTTTCTTTGGGAAAAATGCCTAGAAAGACAAAAACTACAAAAAATTGACTCAAGAAGGACAGAAAATCTAAATAGACTTATGCCAAGTAAAAAGGCTGATTTAGTATTCAAAAATACTACCACAAAGAAAAGCACAGAATAAGAATGCTTCACTGGAATCCCAATCAAAGTATTAAGTAAGAATTAATGACAATCCTTCACAAATTGTTTCAAAAAAATAGAACATTTTTAATTTCCTGTATGAGGTCAATATTTCCCTGATACCAAAACCAAAAAATCACAAAAAGGAGACTTCAGACCATTTTCTTTTATGAATGTGGAACAAAAATTGTTAACAACATTCTAGGAGGATATAGAAGGAACTATACACCATGGCCAAGTAGAATTTATTCTAGGAAAACATGTCTTTTTCAACATATGAAGAAGCTAACAATATTATATGCCACATAAAATAAACATACATGTAACATAGACACATACACACACAAAAAGCCTTTCAAAAAATCCAAAACCTTTTTATCATAAAACCCTAACAAAGTAGAACTAAAAGGAAACTACTGTAACTTGATTCAGATCATTTACTAAAACAAACAAACAAATCCACAATTAACATCACACTTGATGAAAGACTAAAAGCTTTTCCTTTAAAATAAAGGCAAGGCTGTCCACTCTTGCCTCATCTGTTCAACATTGCACTGTAGTCCCTAACCAAAGCATGGGCAGGAAAAACAAATAAAAACATCCATGTTGGAAAGGAAGAAGTAAAACAATTTGCACATGACATGATTTTACATACAGAAAACTCCAAAAAGTTCAAACAGAGGAAAAAATGGACTCAACAGATTAGTTTAGCAAGGTTCCAGAAGCTTACTTCTATATCATGGAAATAAACAGACTAAACATGAAATTTAAGAAACAATTTTATCTTAAATCATATGAAAATAGTAAAATATTTAGAGATTAATTTCATGATAGAAGTGCAAGCATGTACTCTTAAACTAGAAAACATTGTTGAGAGAAATAAAAAAGGACCTAAATGGCCATACTCCCTAAATTGATCTACAGACGGAATGAAATTCCAATGAAAATTTTCAAGTGCCTATTTTCTTTTTTAAAGAAATAGATAAGCTGAACATAAAATGCATATAGCATTTTAGGGGACCCAGAATAGGCAAAACACTCTTGAAAAAACTACAAAATTGAAGAATTTACACTTCCTGAATCCAAAGTTAAATACAAATGTACAGTATTTAATAAATAAGACAGCATGGTGCTGTCATAAGGATAGATATAGATATAGATCAATGGTATGAAATTGAAAATCCAGAAATATTATCATACATCTATGGGCAGTTGATTTGCAACAAGGTACAAATAACATTTTATTGATAAATAATAATATCTTTAAGAAATGGGGCTGGTAAAAGTGAATATTCACATTAAAGAGAACAAACTTGGACTCTAATTTCATACCATGTACAAAAATAAATCTCTGATCTAAATGTAAGAACTAAGATCTAAATTCTAAAAACATAGGTGTTAATATTTGTGTCTGGATTAGGAAAGTTTTCTTGGATATGACATTAAAGTACAAGCAATTAGAAAAAAATAGCTAAATTGGACTTCATCAAAAGTATAAACTCTTGTGCTTCAAAAGATACTGTCAAAATAAAAAGATAACTCACAAAATCAGAGAAAATATTTGCAAATTTTATACATATACTATTTATATAGTGTGTGTATATATATAGAGTGTGTGTGTGTATATATATATATACTGTATATATATATATACAGTATATATATATATATATATATATGGTAAGAGTTTAATATCCAGAATATGTAAAGATCCCTTACACTCAACAGAGAAAGACAAATAACCCAACTTAAAATATAGGCAAATTACTTAAATAGACATATCTCCAAAAAAGATATACAGATGTCCAATAAACACATGAAAATATGCTCAACATCATTAGGTGTTAGGAAAATGCAAATCAAATCCACAATGAGGTATCTATTCATATCTACTAGGATAATATAATGGGATAGGAAGTTTGTGCTAATGGATATAGGGTTCATTATTTTGATGAGAAAAATGTTCTGGAATTAGATCATGGTGACAGTTACACACCTATGTAAATATACTAAAGGCTACTGGGTTGTATACTTTAAAATAGTGAATTTTATATGTGATTGCATCTCCATTAAAAAGTGAAAAAAATGAGATATCACATCCTTAAGGTCTCTTCTTTTTATTTTTTGTGATGTGATGAAATATACAAAGTCCTAGAATAATACATTAATAGAAATTTCTAATGCTGAAGAGCAAAGTTTTAAAGAAAAAATAAAATAAAGACACAGCAAAGATTGATGACTTTACATTTAATATTAGTGAATGGAAAAGAAAATTAGTATATATGTAAGCAGTATATTCAAATAAGTGAGCTCTAAGGTATACCAGAAAGTTTGACTCATTTAGCATTGATATTCCACATGACCCATGGAATGACAGGTCAGTCACCTACCAGCAGAAGCTTGAATAGCCCTGAGCTTCCGAAGCATAGAGCTTATACAATGTGATCTAGAGAGTCTTGGTCTACCCAAATGTTTTGAATACAGCTTACCATCTCCCCATGTCTCAGCAAAATCCCTGTCTATTCTCTGTACCTTCATGATCTGATCTTTTCAAATTGACCTTAATTTCATCTGAATGTTGGCCATAAAAAAATAGCTCCCACTCCTCGCAATTATTGTTTTAAGTACATCTGATTGACTTCAGGAGAAATGAATGACTTAGAATTACTCCAACTTCTTGTTGATTTTGCAGAATTTTGACCATTGTCCCACTGCCTCAAGATTAGCTGCCACTCTAAATGGGAAAGCCTAAGTAAAAGTAAACAAAGAGCTACCATTCTCATCAGTATTACACTAAGCAAGACAATATTTAGTAGGAACTTATTCCTTCTTGGATAGTTAATTAGATTCTCACACTTGGGCATATCTTTTTATAGTAAATGAGACTCTGCCTCTTGCCAGTGAATTGAAAGATCCGAGGGAAGAGTAATCCAGCTAAACTAGATCATTCCATATTCTACGTAACGGCAACATATGACACATTTGGTGTTTGGCACAAAAAAGTGAAGCATATTTGGCCCAAAGCAAATTCAGGTTGACATGTGCGTGGGAGTTAAATTTAAAAATAACATTCTGTGGATATTTATCTCTGTGAGAATTAACTGAGTTTCATTCACATGTAGGCAAGCACTGTCTCTGTCAAGAATACCAGCAGCTTTGGGCTTATATTACCAGTGTGACAACTTCACTGAAAGGATTAGATTTCTCCCTGTAATTTCAGGTAAATCTCTGGGCTGTATTCTCTGTTCAGGTTGGACATAGTTTCTTTTATGAAGAAGGTAAGAAAGACCTAGGGAGATGAAGAAAAACTGGGGGAGGAGGGGACTACTGAAAGAAAGTAAAGCATGTTTTATTTAGTAAAAAAAATCAATATCTTAAATAATGAAGGGAAAAGAGAAACCTAACACAGTTATACACTGCTATTTTAACTTAAAGAAAAATAATATCAGCAAAGAACGTATAGGAAGAGAGGTATAAAAATTATTGCTCACTATTTACATTAGAACTTTTTAAACTTGGGCCTTGGAAAATTTTACTTAATACTGGTTTGTTCATTAAATATGAATGGACGAAAAAGTTGTATAACGCAACAAGTATTTAAGAAAAGACAAAAAGTTGAAAGAAGGCAAAAGACTGAAAGTGAGATGCTTAGCATTGAAAATATACCAAGATTGAATGGCTTTAAAACATTCAAACAACCGGCAAGTGTTTAGGAAGGTAAACTTTGGGGTGACTGAAAATTATTATTATATATATGTGGAAAATACGAAATGAGTGGAAAACATAATTCCTGTTAAAATTATGCCTGATATACATGCACTAAATAATGATATTGTTAGTGTATTATGTAAAGAATTACGGACCAAGAAATAGAAGTAATTCCCTCCTCATCTAGTTCAATCCTTCCCCTACATCAAGAAAAGAACACTTAACAACAAAACACACACACACACACATCAAATAACATAAAAGGAGAAAAAGGGAGAGAAAAAGAAGAAAAGAAGATAGGGTTTACTGAAATATTGAATGACATATTTGTCAATGTGAGGAGATAAAGTATAGTCAGACTATTTAATATGGGATATTAAAGTGTGTTAACATTCTTTTGTGACTGTATATTGGAAGAATATGATTTGCAATATATTTTAATTACATACTAAAATATATTTCAATTTAATTATGTTCATAGATTTCCCAAATATATAATATTGATTAAATATTAAGTATATTCGATGTAAAAATTAAGCCATCAACATAGAGAAAAACAAGCGTGGTGAAAAATAAATCTTTTCTCACATTCAGGTGACAAATAATTATGGTTTAATTGAATTGCTGCTACCAAAGTAGTGTTGTCAATTTTCCCACTGTGTGCACTTTATTGCTCAATGATGGTAAAAGAGGAATAGTAGGAGTAATTTAAAATGCTTTTTAAAAATTCTTTTTCTTTTATGATGTCTTCATGCAGCTAAATTAGTTTAAATTAGTTCCTACAGTATTAGCATCTTGTATTTTTCCCAAAACATTCAACATAATTCTAATTAGAAGGCTTAAATATAATCACAATTCATATGCTATTGATTAAAATAAATATAAGAAAGCAAAGTCTGAAAATGTTCATGTTTTATTAATATTAATCCGTACTTTGCAATATTAATAGCTAACTAAATCTTAGACCTTTTGATCATATATCTGGGCTGGCAGGTAGGTGAGGATGGTTAAAGGGTACAAAAAATAGGACAAATAAGACCTATTATTTGATAGCACAACAGGGTGACTTTAGTCAATAATAACATAGTTGTACATATCTAAAATAACTTAAAGAGCATAATTTGATTGTAACTCAAGGAATAAATGCTTGAGGGGATGGATACCCCATTTTCCATTACATGCTTATTTCACATTGCATACCTATATCAAACCATTTAATGTATCCCAAAAATATATACACCCACTTTGTACCCACAAAAATAAAAAAGTAAAATAAAATAAAGGGGTTTGCATTTTCTTAAGGGAAAAATGTGATTTTTCTGACCTTCTCTTTTTCTATCAAAAATATTTCCTTGAACAACATCAGACTAATTAAATCATCTAAATAAAAATAAAAGAATGTCTCACAAAATGCTACTTACCATTTGATTATTTCCTATTATATTTTTCTAAGTGATCATTACATTTATATGACTCCTAAAAGGATAACAATGAAGGTATATACAGTAAAAATTTAAATAATAAATACATTGTTAGTACTTCTGTCCCATCCATTTTATTACATACCTTATTACCTATCCCTTCAGACATAACAACATGCAATTGGCTTGTTTATGATCTTCTGATATTGTTTGGCCCTGTGTCCCCACACAAATGTCATCTCAAATTGTAATCCCCATGTGTTGAAGGAGGGAGTTGGTGGGAGGTGATTGGGTCATGGGGGCGGTTTCCTCATGCTGTTCTTGTGATAGTGAGTGAGTGCTCATGAGAGCTGATAGTGTGGCACTTTCTGTCTTTCTCTTTCCTCCTGCTTTATGAAGAAGATGCCTGTTTCCCTATCACCTTCTGCCATGATTGTAAGTTTCCTGAATCCTCCCCAGCCATGTGGAACTGTGGGTCAATTAAATCTCTTTTCTTTATAAATTACTCGTTCTCAGGGAGTTCTTTATAGCATTATGAAAATGAACCAATGCACTTTCCAACATTTCTTTATTAAATAAGCAAAAAATTAGAGCAAATATATGTTCTTATTTTTCCACTTCATTATACAAAACAGAGTGTATAAAGTAGCATCTTCTATCCACTCATCTGTACATTAGACTCTTAGAAATATTTTCATATTAATGTATGGGAAAGTTTCTCAGTTATGTCATATATTTTTGAAGTATAATCTACTTGCAATGAAATGCATAGATATTCAATGTTAAATTGGATGAGTTTGATTATTGTAAACTGCCACGTAACACTACACAAAAGCACATATAAAACATTTTGATCACTCCACTCAATTATTTTCCCACCTGGGTAACTACGTTCTAATTTTCATTATAAAATATAAATTTTGATTTTTCTTTATTATAAATGAAATCATTTAGTATATAGTCTTCTGGGTCTGCATTCTTTTAATGAATATAAATGCAAGCATGATGCATGCTGTTTTGTATCAGTAGTTACTTTTTATTGGTAGTTGGGTAGTAATCAATTTTATACACAAACCACAATTTATTTATCCTTTCTCCCATTGATAGACTTTTCAATTCTTCCAGCCTTGACTTTTAAAGATGCTATGAACATATATTTACAAATGTCTTTTGAGGGCATATATTTTCACTTATCCTGGGTAAATATCTAGTAATGTAGTCATTTGATCATAGAGTAGTTAAGTGTTTAACTTTACAAAACACTATCAAAAAGTTTTTCCAAATTAATTTCATCATTATATGCTGCCAGCAGTAATTTATGAGAATTCTAATAATTTTATATCCTCCTCAACAGTTGTTTCTTTTCCAATCTTTTTGATATTTATAATAATAGTGGGTGTGATATCTCATGTATTTTTAATTTACAATGTTCAGGTTGCTGATTATGTTCAATACCTTTTCATGTGTTTACTGGACATGTGTATATTGTCCTATATTAGATTGTTCTTTCATTGCTATAAAGCCGTAACTGAGACTGGGTAATTTATAAGAAAAGGGGTTTAATTGGGTCATCGTTCTGCAGGCTGTACAGGAAGCATAGTGCCAAAATCTGCTTCTAGGGAGGGCACATGAAGCTTTTACTCACGGCAGAAGATGAAGGACGAGCAGGTGTGTCACATGGCCAGAGCAGGAGCAAGAGAGAAAGAGAGTGGGGGGAAAGGTACTACACACTTTTAAATGATTAGATCTTGCAGGGACTCACTATCACAAAGACAGCACCAAGCAATGAGGGATCTGATTCCATTACCCAAACACCTTCCACCAAGCCCCACCTCTAGCATTGAAAATTACAATTCAGCATCAGATCTGGGTGAGGACAAATATCCAAACTATATCATGTCCTTTATGAGTTGTCTCTGTAGTACTTTGTCCCTTTTATTCAGTGGTCTTTTTATTGAAAATTTGTAATTGTTCTTTATATAGTACCAGTATGAATACATGGACAGATATATCTATACAAATATTTCATGCTCTGTCATTTGCCTATTAATTAGTCGGTTAACTGAGTGTGGTGGCTCATCCCTGTAATCCTAGCACCCTGTGAGGCCAAGGCAGGAGGATCGCTTCATCTTGGGAGTTCAACACTAGCTTGGCCAACATAGTGAGACCTTGTCTCTATTAAAAAAAAGAAAAAAAATTCTCTGACGAGCTGATATTATAAATTTTGAAAATTTAAATTATATCTCTTCTTATTTGATAGCAGACAATTCTGTGCCTGATTAATGAAATCTTTGACTATCCAAAGAAAATAAATACATTGTTTTGTATTTTTCTCTAAAATAATTATGGTTTCACCTTATATGTTCAGGTTTATGATTCCTAGTGAACTAATATCTGTGTAATGCAAGGTAAGGTTTTAGCGTATTTTTTTAATCTATATGGTTATCAAGTTCTTCTCTCGTTATTTGTTTTAAGTCTTTAAACGTTAAGTTGACTTGGAACATTTGTTGTAATTTGATTTTCTGTATACGCATCAGTTTATCTAGACTCTTCCACTCCATTATTCTATTTGCTTATTCTTATGTCAAGACCATTAAGTTGGTTTTTGGATATTTGTATTAAATCTTTAGCAAGGTAGTTCTTTTCTTCCATATTTTTTTCTTGTTAAAGATGTTTTTCTTTTTTACAATCCTACCTCTTTGCATTGTCATATTAGTTATAAAATTATCTCATAAATTTCATTTAAAAACTGCTTGAATTTTCATTGGAATCGTGTTGCATATAAAGGTCATCTGGGGGCTGGGCACCGTGGATGACACTGTGATCCCTGCACTTTGGGAGGTCAAGGCGGGAGGGTGACCTGAGGTAAGGAGTTTGAGACCAGCCTGTCCAACATGGTGAAACCCCGTCGCTACTAAAAACACAATAATTAGCCAGGTTGGTGGTGGGCGCCTCTAGTTCCAGCTACTCAGGAGGCTGAGGCAGGAGAATCACTTGAACCTGGGAGGCAGAGGTTGCAGTGAGGCAAGATCATGCCACTGCACACAGCAGTCTGGGCGACAGAGACTCCATCTCAAAAAAAGGTCATTTGTAAGAACAGATATTTTAATAATAATAATATTTGAACAATGTTGAGTCTTCCAATGGTATGTTTCTTAATTTCTTTGAATATTTTAAAATTTCTTTCACTACTATTTACCATTTTTAATTTTTCCCCTTTTTATTTTTATAAATTGTAGGAGTACATGTGCAGTTTTTTTAAACACAATGTTGTAGTCTTGGTGTTTAGTGTATCTATCACTCAGATACTATACATTGTACCTATTGAGTAATTTCTCATCACCCACTGCCCTTCCACACCCCCAGACTTCTAAGTCTCCAATGTTTATTATTCCACAATCTATGTCCATGTGTACACATTATTTAGCTCCCATTGATAAGTGAGAACATTTGACTTCCTGTTTCTGAATTGTTTCACTTAAGATAGTGACTTCCAATTCCATCCATGTTATTGTAAATATATGATTGCATTATTTTTTATGGGTGGATAGTATCTTTATGTATATACACCACATTTTCTCTATCCAATCACCCATTGATGGCCACTTAAATTGATTCCATATATTTACTATTGCGAATAATGCTGTGATAAATATACAAGCCAAGTATCTTTATTATACAATAATGTATTTTTGTTTAGGTAGATACCCAGTAGTGGGATTCCTAAATTGAATGATAGTTCTATTTTTGGTTCTTTGAAAATCTCCATACTGTTTTCATAGAGGTTGTACTGACTTATATTTCTATCAACAGTGTATAAGGTAGTCTTTACTCTTCATCCTTGCCAATATCTATTATTTTTTGACTTTTAACAAAAGGCATTCTGACTCATGTAAGATGATATCTCATTGCAGTTTGAATTTGCATTTCTCTGATGTTGAACATTTTTGACAGGCTTGTTGGATTTTGCATATTTTCTTTTGAAAAATATCTATCCAGGTCTTTTGCCCACTTTTTAATGGGTTATTTGTTTTGTTTTATTGTGTGGCTGTTGAGTTGTTTCTTATAAATTCTGTGTATTAGTCCACGGTTAGATGTGTAGTTCAAAAATATTTTCTTCCACTGTGCAAGTTGTCTGTTCATAAACATTTTCATTATAGAGGTCTAATATATGTTGTTATATTTATTCTTACATATTTAATGTTTATAATGCTACTCTAAATGCATTTTAATTGTATTTTTAAAGTGTTTGTAGCTAGTACATAGAAATAACATTTATTTCTAGATACTGAATGTATATCTTGTGATCTTGTTAGATTTATTAGGTATAGTTTTATTTATAATTGATAGACTCTTCAACGTACACATTATGATGTCTACAAATAAGGAATTTTTGATTTTGCTTCTATAATCTTTATGTTTATTTTTAAATAAATGTCTTATTGCCCTGGATATTGAATGTGAATATTAAAGATGTAACCTTCCCTTGTCTCCAATCTTAGATGAAAAGTTTCAATGTTTCTACATTGTGGTTTTAGTTAAAATTTTTTGATGGATAAATATACCTCATAAGATTGAAAAAGTGTTTTTATTCCTATTTCCATTGTTTGAGAAGTTATATTATTATCACTAACAGTAGTATAGGTAGTAGTAGCACCAGTACTAGCAGCAGCAGCAGCAGCAGCAGCAGCAACAGTGTGAGTGAGTTTTTAATTTGTCCAGTGCTTTCTCTGTAACTTTTAAAATGATCATATGAACATCTTTCTCCTCTGGTAAGTAAAAACAACAAAGTCAATCATGGTTGTTTATTGAACACTTTTCAGTGTAAAACACGTAACTGCATTATTACTTTTAATATTAAATTTGCTTCATGATGTTCCGTTGGAACTTTTCATAGACACCTTTGTGGTAAGCAGTTTCAACTGCCAAAATTTTCCTGCTAGTACATACGACATAAGACTATACTTCCATAAGCCTTTGGTCAGTAAGGAATGAGCTCTGCAGCTATACTTTCCTGAACTAACTCTTAGGATATAAGGATGTTCATTTATTTTTAGTCTATATATAGGTATCAAGGCAAACACTTTCATGTTTGGAACATTCTTAGAAACCATTTTTTATTTTCTCTCCACTCTGATAGTCTGTTAAAAGGCTTTATCTGTTATAGTAGTGGAATTAATTATACATGGCATGGTTAATCCAGCAGCTGCTATGGAGCATACAAGTTCTTGTAATCCTTCACAAACAGTGAATTATAAAGTTTTTGAAAGTCAAAACAGAATTTCTACTAATCACAGAGAGAGCTTCACAGTTAGATGGGGCAACGAACATTTAATTTGAGGCAAAATTTAATAGCTTTCTAGGATTTCTAGGAGCTTTATGGACTCTTCTGAATCTGATTAAATCTAAGGATTTCACACACTGTTGCATAATAGGAGAATGTGGTCAGCACCATTTATTTTAACTCTTCTTTTGTGTATAGTAATATTATATTATGTATATAGTTTTCTTCCAATATTGCTAATTGTTTCTTTAATATCTCTCCTCAGAGTAATTGTTATCGTCTTCTCAAACATAAATTTCCATACTTTCTGTTATCTCTCTCATCAATAGTTTATTTGCAAACCAAATTTTTCAAATAGCCATTTTACAATCATCTTCAGCTTTAATAATACTAGTATTCTGGAATATTACCTTACAACTCAGCTTATTAGCATTGCTTCATGACCTTCAAAATAACTCTTTGGAGAAAAGGCATTGTGGGATAAAAATAGTCTCTCTCTTTTTCATTTAGATACAGAATAAATTAGTAATTGAATAAAGGAATCAGAAAAATTGAGAGCAGAAAAGAATGTCTTTGTGTAAAACCGGTTGGAGAACATGACTGCAATATTAGATGGAGCTCTGGCTCTGTTCATCTCACCACTGTCACCATCAGCATGCCAGTGTGGATTTTGGGCAGCCCAACTCATGGGAAAAGCTTAGCTCTGCAGAGGAGACTCACTCACCTAGAATTGCTGTCATGCACTTATCTGAGGCAAGGCGAAAAAAAATCCCCTTTACTAGAACATTTTAATAGACTTATTCCATCCAATCAATAAACAGACAAATAGCTGCATCTCTCATAAAAATCAGGTACTGATTTTCTTTTCTCCCACACCAACTATTTTAGTAACTTTCATTCACTGATTCACCATAATTATACTGTCAAGCACTGTGTTAAGCCTTGCATTTACAGTGTTGCAAACACTTCCTGAGATTTGTCATTTTCTGAGGAAGAGAATATCAAGTAAAAAAGTATGTGAACAATATCTAAAATTATGAAGTTATAAGGAAAACTAACAGAGTACTATGACAGAAAAGGGGAGTCTTCTACGAAAAGATAGTTTGGGTGGGCCATTCTGAAGAGTGGACATATTAGTGAGACCTGAGTAATGAACACTAGCCATTCAGAGTTGGAAGAGTATGAAGTGGGAAGCTGGGCAGAGTCCGAGGGCAGGGACAATGCATATGAAGGTAAAGAAAGAGGATCAGCTTGGGAGGCCGAGGCGGGCAGATCAAGAGGTCAGGAGATCGAGACCATCCTGGCTAACACGGTGAAACCCCGTCTCTACTAAAAATAAAAAAAATTAGCCGGGCGTGGAGGTGGACGCCTGTAGTCTCAACACTCGGGAGGCTGAGGCAGGAGAATGGCGTGAACCCGGAAGGCGGAGCTTGCAGTGAGCCGAGATCATGCCACTGCACTCCAGCCTGGCCAACAGAGCGAGACTCCGTCTCAAAAAAAAAAAAAAAAGAAAGAAAAAAGAAAGAGGATCAGCAAGGTTCTGATGACCACAAAGGAAAGCGATTTAAGATGAGGCTGCAGAAGCAGGCAGGGGACAGATTATAGCAGGTCTTATAGATTAATCAGATTCAACCTGCTTAAAATTTGCATAAGGGCACAAAACATATGCATTGCTAAAATTTAAATACCGTAGTTTTGAATACAGTCTTTGATTCAAGATTTAAGGGTGACTAGTCAAGATAATATAGTCTAGAACTCACCACAGAGTTTCAGACTATACTCCTGTATTTAATCTATATCCACTGTAGAGAATACTTATAATAAGTGAATAATGATGGAATTAGTTGCCTTCTTAGTTAACTAAGGTACTGCATCCTTGTTTTCTTTCTATGCCGAATATTTCCATCTAAATAAATTTCCAAATAATATTTAAAAAGTAATAGAATAGTATATAAGAAAGAGAGGGAAAAAAATGCTCTGTGTTTCCTATTGGTCATTACTTAACTTTGGCTTTCTGTTCTAAACAGGTTAATATATTCTAGCTCTTTTTAAATTTAATCTGAGATTTTTATACAAAGTTTCTTATATTAATGAGAAACATAAAAGTTATATGTGACTTTTAAAAAGTCATATATCAAGAATCAAATTAATTAAACATCTCTGCAGAATAAGTCGAGACCATGTATTTATGAATCAAAAAAGATGGCACTGTTCACTCAGGAACCAGGAAGAATCTGCTAATAAATCTTATGAGATAGGAGATTTTTTGAAAATGTTGAAACGTTTTCACCATTTATCTAGTGCAGACTCTACATTTCATTTAGTGGAAGGCAGAAATTTGCATGTAAATTTTTGTAAAGCAGATAGAAATGGTGAATAATAAAAATAATAAAGAACCTGTATTTGTAACAATTCACGAAGCAAATAAATTTCAAAATGCATGATAAATTCCATTTATATTTATATGTGAATTATATCCATATTCATTAGAACAATAATGATGTTTAAGGATGGGTAAGTCATTGTATTAACCAAATTTTTATTTTCTGTAAATTGATGCATAACATAAACCTATGAGCCTATTAGCATCCCCTGAGGGAATTGTGACTGACCTAGAGCTATCCAGCGTACTTATGTAGTTTTAAACTATACATTATATTTTGAGGAATTGATATGGTTTGGCTCTGTGTTCTCACCCAAATCTCACCTTGAATTATAATAATCCCCACATGTCATGTGAGGGACCTGGTGGGAGTTAATTGAATAATGGGGGCGGGTTTTTTCTGTGCTGTTCTCATAATAGTGAATAAGTCTTGAGATCTGATGGTTTTATAAAGGGGAGTTCCCCTCCACATGCCCTATTGCCTGCTGCCATGTAAGATGTGGCTTTGCTTCTTCTTGCCTTCTGCCATGATTGTGAGGCCTCCACAGCCTTGTGGAGCTGTGAGTCCAGTACACCTCTTTCTCTTTATAAATTACCCAGTCTCAGGTATGTCTTTAAGCAGGGTGAGAACAGAAAAATACAGGGGTTGCAGGGAGGCTCATCTGGATATGGTGTCTCACTCTGTCACACAGACTGGAGTGCAGTGCCATGTAATCCTACTACCTCAGCCTCCCAAGTAGCTGGGACTAAAGGCACGTGCCACCACCTCTGGCTAAATTTTCTATTTTTTGCCTAGGTTGGTCTTGAACTCCTGAGCTCAAGTGATCCATCCACTTCGGCCTCCCAAAGTGCTGGGATTAAAGGCATGAGCCACCGTGTCCAGACTAAATGATACATTTTAACAGGAGTAATGAATATAAATTTCATGACATTGTCAGATATAAGTAACCAATTCTAAGCCTATTTGCCCTAACTTGCCCTACCCTTCCCACAGAAACCACAATAAATGTGCCACCTAATTATCAAAGGTAATATGATGTGTATATATACATATATATCATGTTAAATAAATATAATTATATATATATCATATTACTAATATATAGGTATATATGTAATAAATCATATATAGGTATATATATGATATATATGATATATATCATTTTACATATATAATTATATATGTCATATTACTAATATATAGGTATATATGTAATAAATCATATATAGGTATATATATGATATATATAATATATATCATTTTACACATATAATTATATATATTACATACATAGGTATATATGTAATAAATCATATATAGGTTTATAGGCATATATATATATATCATATTACCTATATATAGGTATATGTGTAATATAATATATCTTATTACCTATAGGGGAGGCCTGGTGCAGATGCAGGTGCAATATCATAATACCAGATGCAGATGCAATATCATATATATATTTATATCATGATAAATATATATAATATATATTTATATATAAATAAAATACATATCTATATATTCATTACATATTATCTAATATATATGTAATATAGGTAATATGATATATATTATTATATGTCATCTCCATATAGATCTGTATTATGATATATATGATATATATCTTGATGTATATTATATCATGTTAAATATAAATATTTATATCATGATATATCTGTGATATACATCATGTTAAATATAAATATCATTTATATATAAATATACATATACATATATATATATACACACACACACACACATATATACCCACACACACATTTTTCTCAGATCCCCAAACCTTAAGCGTGATATTAACAGAGCATGGTAGTGTAAGGTAATTTATAGATTTTAAAATCTGGATTTATTTAATTCCAAGAATTATGTGAGAAAAATTAATTTTTCATGAGAATTATTTTCTGTACATGAATGAAGAAGGAGAAGGAATAAAATGCATTACATTCAAACCATTATAAATTATTAAGAAAACATCGTGTATAGTTTATAAATCTAGATTGAGTATATAGCTCTAATGTTTCTTATGTAAATATCTCATGTAAGCATCTGTTACTCTTTGAAGTAGATCTAAAAATGAAATACTGTGAAAAAAATTTTGTGACTATAATATAAGAAATAAATTCACTTTGCTACTCTTTTCAGGATTTAAATTCAGTGCTGCTTGAACTCAATGATGTGGGATTGGTGAAGAGCACCCTAAGTCTATGTTAGTGTAAGTTTTGGAAAATTTCAACTTTTGGTTGATAAAATTTTTTGCTGTTAAAATAAAAATGTATTTAATAGGAAAAAAATGTTTTTTTTTGCAATTAAAATAAACATTGTGTAGGAGGCAAATATATTGAGATTGCCCTAAACATGTATTCCTCAATTATCTACCTATATTTTAAGGCTTTCTTACAAGCAGAATTTCTTTCATTACATTAAAGTAGCAGCCAACTTTTTAGTCATAGAAAAGATGAACTGAAATGAATACTGCTACAGAGTAGCCGAAACTGTTTAGAGCCGTAGAAACACTTCCAAAAAACAGTCACAATAAAAAACAATGAAAGTAGATTTCTACAGAATACATAGAATTAAATTCAATATGGAAACTGTCAACACTTTTATAACTTATAAGAGATGTAAAATCTAATAACAGATAAAATCCCTAAGCTATCACATAACCTGCTGTTAGATGAAAATAAGAAATGCACTTGAAGTACTTCCATGATAAAGGAAATGTAAAAATTTTGCATTATTCTGACCTTAGAGTTCACAGCGAATTGCCTACTTGGGACAGAATCAGAAACATTGGGTAAGATATTTCCAAATTTGCAGTAGGCAATGTATTTTATTTTTCTCCAAAGTCCCATTTATAGACTATTATTAGAAGCAAAATAGTCTACTTGATGGCTCAATGGACTGATTCATTATGTCAGATTCCATGTTCCTATCCAGTGACTGAAAAAAAAGGCACACGAATTTAAAATAGGGCAAATCAAGCATTGCTTTATAAAGACCATTTGCATGTCATGCAGGAGATCTTAAACAAAAGTACTTTTGTGGTTATCCAAGCACATAAATACCTGGGCAACTTTTAAAAGCTGAACATTTTTTCCCTATCAAAGTTTACTATAAGGAAAAATCAAATGGATTTTTTCCCTACTAGTAAAACAGACCTCAACTATTGTGCAAAAAAAAATAAAAAATAAAAAAAAAATAAAAATAAAATAGCACTTCTTCTCATGGCTATAGCCTAGCAACATAAAGCGAATATAAATAGCCCTGGGGGTAAAAGGCTTAATGAATGACTGTCTTGTTTGCAAGCCATTACCTAGGGCTTGCCATACTTAGCTGGTGTGAAATTCACCAGAATTATTGTAGTATAATTGTGTAGTCTTTGGAAGCCTTTAATGGTATCAGAACAATATTTATCCTTATAATAGATTTTAGGGTTTCTTAGATTTATTTGTTTTGTTGACTCAAATGTCTGTAATGCATATATGTTTTTATATACATACAAAAGCATATACACAAAGTAGGGACATTCAGTATCAATTGGTAACTGAAACACATTTTAGAAAATGAATGAGAAATATATCATTCCTGCATTTGGACTATATTTTTAAGGGAAAACATGTATAATACCTATAATTTTTTTATATATATGCAGTTATAAAAATGTTTCTTATTTTTTACTCTGATTAATATATGTGTTTAATATTTTATGTATACATATAATATGAAGGAAGAGTATGTCTTGTTTTTATATTGTCAATAAGTCAAAATACAAATTTGGAAAAATATTTTTTAAACATCAACTGAATGAGAAACTTCTTCCTGTTGAGTATATTTTTTCTGTAATTATTCCAATCCACATTTGGGAAAGAAATATGAAAAAAATCACATATTTAGCATAATTAAAAACCATTTCCTCAATTAAACCTGATTACAACATAAAACATGACTGCCCACAAAAGATTTTCCAACTTAAAGAAATTATGATCTTGTATCTTGCCATTTTGCATTTTTGCAGTGTTGCACTCTGCCCCCTTGCTTCATTTTTCTGTGGACTGGCTCTATATTTATGCCTCCTATATTTACTTTGTTTGTTCACACACAAGACTACACTTTAGTTCAGCCTCCTCTTTAAACAAACCATGGCACCTGAAAGGAACAGATGATCAAAGAAAGAAAAAAGAGTAATGCAGAAAGGGCAGCATAATGCCTGCTAGGGTTTCCTTGTTTAAATATTACAAAATATATTTTTGAATAGTGAAAAAATGACAAGATAAAAAGGAGGGGAAGTAATTTGGGAGCTACTAGGGAGCAAATCACATAGTAATAGAAAAGAATGATCTTGAAGCTTGTTAGAGAAAAAAAGTAGAAAAAAAAGAAACTGAGTTTCTGTTGCATTCACTAATTGTGTATTACTCTTTTCATGATTTTTACATTCTGTTACAGTTATATTAAGGGTAGATGGGACACAAGACACTCAAATGACCTCCTCTCAGCAAGTTCATAGGAGTTTTTAAGAAAAATCTCTAAAGGCATTAATACAAGCTAGAGAGAAAAGCAATAAAGAAATGATCTGGTTTTGAATGTACATTCCTCAAATAGAACTAAATTATACCAAAAAACATTTTCTAATAAAATGGATCATTTCTTACCACAGAATTTCTCTAATAAAAAGAACTGAGTTGTATTTTCCTATAGTAAAACATATATTTACATTTGTCATAAATCAATTACTTTTCTAATGCATTTCATTTTCCTTCCACTCTCTAATCTCTCTCTCCCTCTTTCTCTGTCACAAGTGCAAACTTTCTCTTTCTCAAACTTGCTCTCACACACAGTAGCACTTATAATAAATCAGAATTGAAGTTTTTCAAATTCATTGATACATCAGGAAGGAAAATATAAAGTGACTTTCCCAAATTTTATTTTGCTTACCGTAGTGGCCACAAGAAAGAGAGAAAGATAGAACGAGAGAGAGAGAGAGAAAGGAATGAAAGTAGGTAACAAAAGTATATAGAGTGGTTATAATGTCCAGTTGCCTCAATTATCAAAATGCTATTTTTAAATCACCGAAAACCTGACAAAAACATTTTAAAGTGAGCAACATGTCATGCAAAATATACAGAGAAAATTATTTATTCACAAGAAAATACCTGGCCGGGCGCGGTGGCTCACGCTTGTAATCCCAGCACTTTGGGAGGCCGAGGCGGGCGGATCACGAGGTCAGGAGATCGAGACCATCCTGGCTAACACGGTGAAACCCCGTCTCTACTAAAAATACAAAAAAAATTAGCCGGGCGTGATGGTGGGCGCCTGTAGTCCCAGCTACTCGGGAGGCTGAGGCAGGAGAATGGCGTGAACCCGGGAGGCGGAGCTTGCAGTGAGCCGAGATTGCGCCACTGCACTCCCGCCTGGGCCACAGAGCGAGACTCCGTCTCAAAAAAAAAAAAAAAAAAAAAAAAAGAAAATACCTAACAGTGTAACTCTTAATGTGTTTTCTTGTTTTCTATTGAAGTCAGATTTGTTTGAGCAAGATGTAGGATTTCTTGTCAAAATGAAAATGGAAAAGATAAAGTTCAATAAACATATAAATAAATAAACAATGTGGAAATATTTTTCAAGTATTTTCTACCATTCTGGAGACACTTTTAAATGTTGTTAGCACAAATAAAATCATGCAGGGTAAAAATTTACTGCATTCCGTTAAAATTTAAAATGTACACACCCCAGGACCCAACAATTCCACCTGTTTGTGGCTGGCTTAAAAACTAATGTATTCAGGCAAATTATATTATCTTTAAGCCCCCAAGCCTTTTGAGGATCACTTAAAAATACCAGGGTGAGAACTTTAGAAATGTTTTTCCGTAATTGGTAGGGAGATGCCTGACACTAAGAAGGCTAGATTGCTCTCCTTAGTTACTTCCAATCTCAGCATTTGTAGAGATAAGGGAACCCCAAGTTTTTGCTTTAGATCCCCACTGGGACCTGTATGAGAGAGCACAAATGTGGAATCATCTTGGATCTTGTCTAAGAGAACTGCCTGAGGAGTGACCTTAGCAGACAGAGATGGAGGTAGACAACTAAATGCCAAGACTGCTGGAGGACTACAAAAAGTGACTCGAAATGCAGATGCCCCATATTAAGCCAAGAGAACCTGAAAGTGAGGAATCCAGATAGTAATCTTTAAAATGCCCATGAACATGTCCCAGGAAAGCAAGAGTAACATTTAACTATCTGCCATGTTGAGAGAACTCTAACTACACACCAGACAAGAACTACCTAAACTCCTTCTCCCTCTTCCACAGTATTTGACAAATAGTTCTGTCTGAATTTGCCACTAGTCGATGCTGAAGAAGATGAGCTTGGCAATCTTAAATTTATATTAAGAAAGTAAAGGTATCTTGCTTTATTTCCAATGTAGCTTCAGTCTGAACCAATCCCACATAGTTAAGACAAGATGATTTAAAGCTAAATATTGCAAAATTTTCACTGTCACCTAGGACTATATATCTAATTTTCAAAACTGAGATTTTATTTTTATGACTCCCTATGAACAAAGGATATTTTATTACTTAAAAATGACCAGATCTATCTTAGGTTTGTCTAAATTTTTATCAATCTGCAGGAGGTATTTACTCCAAAGAATAAAGTTTAAGAAAATGAGAAGAAAAAAGTAAGGCTATGTTTGGATTACAATCCACATACAGTCGACCCTTGTACAATGTGGGAGTTAGGGTTGTTGACTTCCCACACAGTCGAAAATCCACATATAACTGTTAACTCATCAAAACTTATTACTAATAGCCTACTGCTGACCCAGAAGCCTTAGTGATAATATAAAGAGTTGATGAACAAATTTTTTATGTTACATGTGTTATACACTGTATTCTTACAATAGAGTAAGATAAATAAAAATGTTATCAAAAATCATAAGGAAGAAAAAAATGTTTATTATTTATTATGTGGAACTGAACTATTGTAAAGGTTTTCATCCTCATCTTCACATTGAGAAGGCTGAAGAGGAGGAGAAAGGGGAGGGCTTGGTTTGCTGTCAGACGTGGCAGAGTTGGAAGAGGTGGAAGAGGCAGAGGATATGGAAGGGGAGGAATGAGGTGCAGGCATACCTGGTGTCACTTTATGGAAACACATTGTAATTTCTGTCTGACATTTTTGGTTTTTCATTTCTCTAAAAATGTTTCTATATGGTATTAGTTATTTTCTAATGTTTGCTTTAGTTTCAACACCCCATCATGAAAGAACTCAAATGCAGTCTTGAATAATCAGAACCCTTCTGCCAGATTGTCTAACATCAATTTGTTTTCTGGCACTGTTCCTTCTGTTTTCTTCATAGTCTGGCACTGGCTTAGAAGCGCTCATCTCCATCAAGTTTTCATCCATTAATTCCTCTGGTGCAGTGTCTATTAGCACTTGAGTTTCTCCAACATTCATATTTCAAAACCCTCATCCTTCACTTTCTTTCTTTTTTTTTTTTTTTTGCCATGTCCACAATCCCTTTGATGATTTCCTTGATTGGCTCTGTTGTAAATCCTGTAAAGTTATGCACAACATCTGGACACAGTTCTCTTCAGCAGGAATTTATTGTTTCAGGCTTAATGGCTTTCATGGTGGTTTTTTTTTTTTTCTTATAACAACACTGGCATCTTCAATGGTGTAATTCTTCCATACTTTCATGATTTTCATCAGGTTCTCTCTACCAGAGTTCTTCTCCACAGCATTGACAAGTCTTTCCATAGACACCATGTGTAACCGCCTTAAAGGTCCTTATATCCCCCTAATTTAGAGATTGAATTAGAGACATCGTGTTTGTGGACAAGTAGACTATTTTGACACCTTCAATGTTGAACTCACAGGGTTCTACATGGGCAGGAGCATCATCCAATATCAAAAGAACTTTAAAAGGTAGTCCTTTATTGGCAAGGTACTTGCTGACTTCAGGGGCAAAGAATCAATGGAACCAATCCAGAAAAAGAGTTCTCATTGCCCAAATAACTAAAAGACTGGCAGCTAATGTTTATTTTTTCCCTTCAAGACTTAAGGGTTAGCAGCTTTATAGATAAAGACAGCCATGATCATAAACCCAACTGCATTTTCACAGAACAGTAGTTAGCCTACCTCTTCCTGCCTTAAATCCTTGTGTTCACTTCTTTTCCTTACTAATAAATGACCTTGGTGGCTGTTTTTCAGAATAGGGTACTTCTGTTTGTATTCAAACCTGTTCAGGCAGATATCATCCTTTCTCCTCGATTTTTTTTTAATGTCATATGGAAACTCATGTACTATCTCTTGGTCAACAGAAGCTGTGTCTCCTGTGTCCTTGACATTTCTAAGACACACTTCTTTCTAAAATTATCAAACTATCCTTGGCTGCATTAAATACTCCAGCTTTAGATCCTTCACACCCTTTTTACTTTATTTTAGCATGACTTTGCTTTTTCTCAAAGAAAAGTTATGCTTTTCTTACAGCACTCCTGCACCTACATAAAAGCTGCATTTTCAATACAACATAAAAAGACATTTCACAAAGAGTGCAAGGTTTTTGTGTTTGCTGACATAGCTGCAGCAATGGCTTAACAAATTTCCTTCTCTTTCTTTGCAATGGTCCTTACCCTGAATTCATTTATCTCGAAACAGTGGGCAGCCACAGCTGCAGATTTCAATCTACAGTGCATAACAAGAAAGCATCACTAGTGGCGCTTTGTACTGGCCCCACGATATTATGGAAAGTTTATGGTATCACATTAAACTGGATAAAAAATACGTGAGAACTACAGGAGATCACTTTCTACTGTGATACTCAATCTACTGGAAAGACAAATTGCTCACTCTGAGGTGATGAACATCATAAGAGGCTTTTAGAGCATGCTGAAAACACTTGAGCTTACTGCAATAGTAATGGGAGGTGGCTACAAATTTATTACAGTAGTACAGTATACACTACAGTTAATTGTATGCAATTGGGATTGAATACTTAATCTTTAAATTTGTTTACATTTATCTTGACTGCAAATGATGCCATGTACAGTCTGTAAGTGTTTGGGTGCATACGTTTTGATAATGTTTAACTTTCTATAATAGAATTGTGCATATTTTATGGTAGTCAATGATAAAATACACTATTATAGTGTCTACATATATTTTATGCATTCATGACATACCTAACTTTAAAATTGTTTTTGATATTTCTAGGCTATGTATTTTATGTCCAAGTTTTTCCAAATTGTCCCAAATCTCCAAAAATTTTTCCGGTATGTTTAGTGAAAAAACTCCAGGTAGAATTGGACCTACACAGTTCAAACCCATGTTATTCAAAGGTCAACTGTATGTTTGTTTAATGCATTATTTACATACACTAACAAGAGTGATCAAATCAAGTTGCCCCATGATAGAAACAAAGGACATAATTTATATTTAAAAATGTATACGTATATATGATAGCCATAGATACATTACATAGGCATATACATTATGAATCCATATTAAACTGTCAAGAGAGGCCACATCTGGAGAGAGGTAAAGAGACTTGGATCAGGTGGACAAAGGAGACTTGTAGCTGTATACAGTATTATTTTAACAAGGAAAATGTATTGACATAATTTTGTGTATTTAACAGTTGACTTAAAAATTGTCAAATGCCCTTGGAAAAACTCCTAAAACTTTAGTGTTTCTAATCCTAATTATTACTATAATGATACATGTAGGAGGTCTTAAAGAGTGGCTGTTAAAGCATCAATTACTTTTGTGAATTTTCTAATGCTTTGTACTTAACTACTGACTATTCATTCTGCAGCCTTCTCTGAATCAAAGCTCTGTTGACATTTTTCCTCTGCCATTAAAACATTTCTTATTCTTATCTTTTAAGTAACAGTGAGTTGATATGTTACATTCAAATTAATTTGATATTCAAGAGAAAGCCTTGCTTATCTTCATTTTTATTAATCAATCTAATTTTTTTTAAATTAAAATACCTGAATAATTTACCTTAGCAAGAAAAAAAGTTATCAAGCCAGTATACAGTCATATTACGTATAAAGGAAAGATGATCTATTAAATAATTTTTATACTATCAGTTGATATAGCTTGTAAAACTCATTTTCTCAGATCTACTTGATAAGTTAACAAACTTTCACAGGCAATAAAAGATCAGAATCTATTAATATTTTCAGTTATCTTGGCATTATTTTTATCAGTTCATAATATCCAATTACTAGACTATAAATTTACCTGGAAAATCACACCGGTATGAGCCATCTCAGGTAGTATGTTTTTATATAACATCAAGAAGACAAAGTGCCATACAATTTAAATCTTCTTCCTGTAAAATAATTACACATTGATAAACAATATTAACAATTTTTAATGCAAATGACAAAGACAGATGTATACATGCATGTTATGTAGCATACACAAATAATTTTTAAAAGAGTTTTCAGTAGACTATAAAGATGGCTAGCCTTACATGAAGGTTACTTGGGAAGAGTAACATACAAAATCTATTTATGTTTAGACTTTATGTGGTTTCTATAATTTCACACATCAGATTAAAATTCACACAACATTATAAATTAAATTTTTAACATGCTCTTTTCAAAATGACAACGAATACACAAGTTTAATTTTAAAGATTATTTCATAATATTACTAAGGCTTATGGATCATTCATAAAATGTGGCATTATATTCAGTTGTTGTGGGAACAACTAATAAGGTTTTCTGCACAACATATATGATGTGAATAAAATAAAAAATGTTTAAGCACAGACGAATAGCCCCTTCAACAAAAACACTTACCTTACAGCTACATCTAATTGGACTGATTGCTAGTGTTTATTTTCTTCCCCAAATCCTCTTCAGGTCTGCCAGACTCCTTGGCTTTCGCTCTGGGACATGCTTTTTGATGCTACTTTTGCCAAATGCCCATTCTTGTGTTTCTACATTTACAATTTTGGAAGATGCTTTCAACAAAATGCTGAAACCACCTATTTGGCCTCTGAAAGAAGACGAAAATAGCTTCAAACTTAAAAACATAATGTTTTTAAAGGTAAAGCTGACGGAGGAGCCAAGATGGCCGAATAGGAACAGCTCCGGTCTACAGCTCCCAGCGTGAGCGACACAGAAGACGGGTGATTTCTGCATTTCCATCTGAGGTACTGGGTTCATCTCACTAGGGAGTGCCAGACAGTGGGCACAGGTCAGTGGGTGCGCGCACCATGTGCGAGCCAAAGCAGGGCGAGGCACTGCCTCACTTGGGAAGCGCAAGGGGTCAGGAAGTTCCCTTTCTGAGTCAAAGAAAGGGGTGACGGACGGCACCTGGAAAATCGGGTCACTCCCACCTGAATACTGCGCTTTTCCGATGGGCTTAAAAAACAGCCCACAACGAGATTATATCCCGCACCTGGCTCGGAGGGTCCTACGCCCACGGAGTCTCCCTGATTGCTAGCACAGCAGTCTGAGATAAAACTGCAAGGCGGCAGCGAGGCTGGGGGAGGGGCGCCCGCCACTGGGGAGGGGCGCCCGCCATTGCCCAGGCTTGCTTAGGTAAACAAAGCAGCCAGGAAGCTCCAACTGGGTGGAGCCCAACACAGCTCAAGGAGGCCTGCCTGCCTCTGTAGGCTCCACCTCTGGGGGCAGGGCACAGACAAACAAAAAGACAGCAGTAACCTCTGCAGACTTAAGTGTCCCTGTCTGACAGCTTTGAAGAGAGCAGTGGTTCTCCCAGCACGCAGCTGGAGATCTGAGAACGGGCAGACTGCCTCCTCAAGTGGGTCCCTGACCCCTGACCCCCGAGCAGCCTGACTGGGAGGCACCCCCTAGCGGGGGCAGACTGACACCTCACACGGCAGGGTACTCCAACAGACCTGCAGCTGAGGGTCCTCTCTGTTAGAAGGAAAACTAACAAACAGAAAGGACATCCACACCAAAAACCCATCTGTACATCACCATCATCAAAGACCAAAAGTAGATAAAACCACAAAGATGGGGAAAAAACAGAGCAGAAAAACTGGAAACTCTAAAAAGCAGAGCGCCTCTCCTCCTCCAAAGGAACGCACTTCCTCACCAGCAACGGAACAAAGCTGGATGGAGAATGACTTTGACGAGCTGAGAGAAGAAGGCTTCAGACGATCAAATTACTCTGAGCTACAGGAGGACATTCAAACCAAAGGCAAAGAAGTTGAAAACTTTGAAAAAAATTTAGAAGAATGTATAACTAGAATAACCAATACAGAGAAGTGCTTAAAGGAGCTGATGGAGCTGAAAACCAAGGCTCGAGAACTACGTGAAGAATGCAGAAGCCTCAGGAGCCGATGCAGTCATCTAGAAGAAAGGGTATCAGCGATGGAAGATGAAATGAATGAAATGAAGCAAGAAGGGAAGTTTAGAGAAAAAAGAATAAAAAGAAATGAGCAAAGCCTCCAAGAAATATGGGACTATGTGAAAAGACCAAATCTACATCTGATTGGTGTACCTGAAAGTGATGGGGAGAATGGAACCAAGTTGGAAAACACTCTGCAGAATATTATCCAGGAGAACTTCCCCAATCTAGCAAAGCAGGCCAACGTTCAGATTCAAGAAATACAGAGAATGCCACAGAGATACTCCTCGAGAAGAGCTACTCCAAGACACATAATTGTCAGATTCACCAAAGTTGAAATGAAGGAAAAAATGTTAAGGGCAACCAGAGAGAAAGGTCGGGTTACCCTCAAAGGGAAGCCCATCAGACTAACAGTGGATCTCTTGGCAGAAACCCTACAAGCCAGAAGAGAGTGGGGGCCAATATTCAACAATCTTAAAGTAAATAATTTTCAACCCAGAATTTCATGTCCAGCCAAACTAAGCTTCATAAGTGAAGGAGAAATAAAATCCTTTACAGACAAGCAAATGCTGAGAGATTCTGTCACCACCAGGCCTGCCTTACAGGAGCTCCTGAAGGAAGCACTAAACATGGAAAGGAACAACCGGTCCCAGCCACTGCAAAATCATGCCAAAATGTAAAGAGCATCGAGACTAGGAAGAAACTGCATCAACTAATGAGCAAAATAACCAGCTAACATCAGAATGACAAGATCAAATTCACACAAAACAATATTAACTTTAAATGTAAATGGACTAAATGCTCCAATTAAAAGACACAGACTGACAAATTGGATAAAGAGTCAAGACCCATCAGTGTGCTGTATTCAGGAAACCCATCTCACGCGCAGAGACACACATAGGCTCAAAATAAAAGGATGGAGGAAGATCTACCAAGCAAATGGAAAACAAAAAAAGGCAGGGGTTGCAATCCTAGTCTCTGATAAAACAGACTTTCAACCAACAAAGATCAAAGGAGACAAAGAAGGCCATTACATAATGGTAAAGGGATCAATTCAACAAGAAGAGCTAACTATCCTAAATATATATGCACCCAATACAGGAGCACCAAGATTCATAAAGCAAGTCCTGAGTGACCTACAAAGAGACTTAGACTCCCACACATTAATAATGGGAGACTTTAACACCCCACTGTCAACATTAGACAGATTAACGAGACAGAAAGTCAACAAGGATACCCAGGAATTGAACTCAGCTCTGCACCAAGCAGACCTAATAGACATCTACAGAACTCTCCACCCCAAATCAACAGAATATACATTTTTTCAGCACCACACCACACCTATTCCAAAATTGACCACATACTGGGAAGTAAAGCTCTCCTCAGCAAATGTAAAAGAACAGAAATTATAACAAACTATCTCTCAGACCACAGTGAAATCAAACTAGAACTCAGGATTAAGAATCTCACTCAAAACCGCTCAACTACATGGAAACTGAACAACCTGCTCCTGAATGACTACTGGGTACATAACGAAATGAAGGCAGAAATAGAGATGTTCTTTGAAACCAACGAGAACAAAGACACCACATACCAGAATCTCTGGGACGCATTCAAAGCAGTGTGTAGAGGGAAATTTATAGCACTACATGCCCACAAGAGAAAGCAGGAAAGATCCAAAATTGACACCCTAACATCACAATTAAAAGAACTAGAAAAGCAAGAGCAAACGCATTCAAAAGCTAGCACAAGGCAAGAAATAACTAAAATCAGAGCAGAACTGAAGGAAATAGAGACACAAAAAAACCTTCAAAAAATTAATGAATCCAGGAGCTGGATTTTTGAAAGGATCAACAAAATTGATAGACCGCTAGCAAGACTAATAAAGAAAAAAAAGAGAAGAATCAAATAGACCCAATAAAAAATGATAAAGGGGATATCACCACCCATCCCACAGAAATACAAACTACCATCAGAGAATACTACAAACACCTCTATGCAAATAAACTAGAAAATCTAGAAGATATGGATAAATTCCTCAACACATACATTCTCCCAAGACTAAACCAGGAAGAAGTTGAATATCTGAATAGACCAATAACAGGATCTGAAATTGTGGCAATAATCAATAGCTTACCAACCAAAAAGACTCCAGGACCAGATGGATTCCCAGCCGAATTCTACCAGAGGTACAAGGAGGAACTGGTACCATTCCTTCTGAAACTATTCCAATCAATAGAAAAAGAGGGAATCCTCCCTAACTCATTTTATGAGGCCAGCATCATTCTGATATCAAAGCCAGGCAGAGACACAACCAAAAAAGAGAATTTCAGACCAATATCCTTGATGAACATTGACGCAAAAATCCTCAATAAAATACTGGCAAAATGACTCCAGCAGCACATCAAAAAGCTTATCCACCATGATCAAGTGGGCTTCATCACTGGGATGCAAGGCTGGTTCAATATACGCAAATCAATAAATGTAATCCAGCATATAAACAGAGCCAAAGACAAAAACCACATGATTATCTCAATAGATGCAGAAAAAGCCTTTGACAAAATTCAACAACGCTTCACGCTAAAAACTCTCAATAAATTAGGTATTGATGGGACGTATTTCAAAATAATAAGAGCTATCTATGACAAACCCACAGCCAATATCATACTGAATGGGCAAAAACTGGAAGCATTCCCTTTGAAAACTGGCACAAGACAGGGATGCCCTCTCTCACCACTCCTATTCAACATAGTGTTGGAAGTTCTGGCCAGGGCACTCAGGCAGGAGAAGAAAATAAAGGGTATTCAATTAGGAAAAGAGGAAGTCAAATTGTCCCTGTTTGCAGATGACATGATCGTATATCTAGAAAACCCCATTGTCTCAGCCCTAAATCTCCTTAAGCTGATAAGCAACTTCAGCAAAGTCTCAGGATACAAAATCAATGTACAAAAATCACAAGCATTCTTATACACCAACAACAGACAAACAGAGAGCCAAATCATGAGTGAACTCCCATTCACAATTGCTTCATAGAGAATAAAATACCTAGGAATCCAACTTACAAGGGATGTGAAGGACCTCTTCAAGGAGAACTACAAACCACTGCTCAAGGAAATAAAAGAGGATACAAACAACTTGGAAGAACACTCCATGCTCTTGGGTAGGAAGAATCAATATCGTGAAAATGGCCATACTGCCCAAGGTAATTTACAGATTCAATGCCATCCCCATCAAGCTACCAATGACTTTCTTCACAGAATTGGAAAAAACTACTTTAAAGTTCATATGGAACCAAAAAAGAGCCTGCATCGCCAAGTCAATCCTAAGCCAAAAGAACAAAGCTGGAGGCATCACACTACCTGACTTCAAACTATACTACAAGGCTACAGTAACCAAAACAGCATGGTACTAGTACCAAAACAGAGATCTAGATCAATGGAACAGAACAGAGCCCTCAGAAATAACGCCGCATATCTACAACTATCTGATCTTTGACAAACCTGAGAAAAACAAGCAATGGGGAAAGGATTCCCTATTTACTAAATGGTGCTGGGAAAACTGGCTAGCCATATGTAGAAAGCTGAAACTGGATCCCTTCCTTACACCTTATACAAAAATCAATTCGAGATGTATTAAAGACTTAAACATTAGACCTAAAACCATAAAAACCCTAGAAGAAAACCTAGGCATTACCACTGAGGACATAGGCATGGGCAAGGACTTCATGTCTAAAACACCAAAAGCAATGGCAACTAAAGACAAAATTGACAAATTGGATCTAATTAAACTAAACAGCTTCTGCACAGCAAAAGAAACTACCATCAGAGTGAACAGGCAACCTACAAAATGGGAGAAACTTTTCGCAACCTACTCATCTGACAAAGGGCTAATATCCAGAATCTACAATGAACTCAAACAAATTTACAAGAAAAAAACAAACAACCCCATCAAAAAGTGGGCGAAGGACATGAACAGACACTTCTCAAAAGAAGACATTTATGCAGCCAAAAAACACATGAAAAAATGCTCATCATCACTGGCCATCAGAGAAATGCAAATCAAAACCACAATGAGATACCATCTCACACCAGTTAGAATGGCAATCATTAAAAAGTCAGGAAACAACAGGTGCTGGAGAGGATGTGAAGAAATAGGAAAACTTTTACACTGTTGGTGGGACTGTAAACTAGTTCAACCACTGTGGAAGTCAGTGTGGCGATTCCTCAGGGATCTAGAACTGGAAATGCCATTTGACCCGGCCATCCCATTACTGGGTATATACCCAAAGGACTATAAATCATGCTGCTATAAAGACACATGCACACGTATGTTTATTGCGGCATTATTCACAATAGCAAAGACTTGGAACCAACCCAAATGTCCAACAATGATAGACTGGATTAAGAAAATGTGGCACATATACACCATGGAATACTATGCAGCCATAAAAAATGAGGAGCTCATGTCCTTTGTAGGGACATGATGAAATTGGAAATCATCATTCTCAGTAAACTATCGCAAGAACAAAAAACCAAACACCGCATATTCTCACTCATAGGTGGGAATCGAACAATGAGATCACATGGACACAGGAAGGGGAATATCACACTCTGGGGACTGTTGTTGGGTGGGGGGAGGGGGGAGGGATAGCATTGGGAGATATACCTAATGCTAAATGATGAGTTAGTGGGTGCAGCACACCAGCATGGCACATGTATACATATGTAACTAACCTGCACAATGTGCACATGTACCCTAAAACTTAAAGTATAATAAAAAAAAAAAAATTGTGGTTTTGACCATGGCTACCCTAAGACTTTGCCATCCACAAAATAAATAAATAAATAAATAAATAAATAAATAAATAAATAAAATAAAGCTTTCCTTTTTTTTTAAATATAAATCTTTAAGTTCTATGGTGGTTCTTCAGTTGCAAAACATACATTCAGAAATCTAATCCCCTAAAATGGGCAGTAGAGACCCATGACACTCTACTGTGAAGAACGGGTGACTGAGACTACTTGGCTTAAATTAGTGTATTTACAGTACCTAATAATTGATATATCTTCATTTATGTGATCATAAGTATAGTAAAAATGTAAGTATTTAAGTAATCTACATTCATCAAGAGGGTCAATATCATTGAGCATTTCCAGCAAGCATTTCTATGGACATCATTAAACCAAGAAAAACGCTGGTGATTACTAGACGTAATACTAGTTCTCAATATGAAAGGCTAATAAGCTAGCTACACAAAGCAAGAAAATTTTAAGCTACTTTATGGAGATTCTTGGGAAGGGAGGAGCAATAGTTAAGGGTGAGTTGAATCATAGGATCATTGATGATAAAAACTGATAGAAATTTTAGATATTCCCTAGAATAATCCTGGCCTAATTTTAAAGACAAAGAGATTGAAGCCCGAAGATATCCAGTGGATTACAAATTGAGTCATCTTTTATTGATTATGTAATCAATTAAAACATTTCAATAGTTTTCTCTCAAAATTCTATGTGTGCAAGCTATTTTTAATACTTAAAATGTGATCAATAGCTTATATTCCATTTTTACTCATATTATTTTACTCATAGATATATTTTTACTAACAAGAAATTTATATTTACCTGTAAGAATTTGTATAGACAATAAAATACAGCAATTCCAATTTTCAGTAGTTTCTTGTTCTCATCCACATTCGAGGTTATAAACTCTATTTTGTTGGGGAAAAAAAGTCAGTGATCCTAGTACTGAAATAACGGTTGATTGTTAGCATCACCCTTACTTAGATAATCCAAAAATCTATGATGAATTATTGACAAAACATGTACCCCACCTACGTGTGGATAAATGCTATTCATAGTATTATTTCCATTTTTAGGAAACTGTGTAAGGATCAGTTGCAGGGTCTTTTTAAATACCTATTTCTGGCCCCAGGAAATTTCGATTCACCTTAACATGAGAACTATATATGTGGTACTTATATATAGGTGTATTCATCAATTTTCACAATGCTGATAAAGACATACCCAAGACTGGGCAATTTACAAAAGAAAGAGGTTTATTGGATTTACAATTCCACATGGCTGAGGAGGCCTCACAATCATGGCAGAAGGTGAAAGGCAAAGAGGAGCAAGTCACTCTTTACATGGATGGCAGCAGGCAAAGAGAGAGCTTGTGCAGGGAACTCCCATTTTTAAAAACGTCAGATCTCATGAGATTCATTCATTATCATGAGAACAGCCGAAGAAAGACCCATACCCATAATTCAATTACTTCCCACTAGGTTTCTCCCACAGCATGTGGGAATTGTGGGAGTTATAATGCAAGATGAGATATGGGTGGGGACGCAGCTAAACCATATAATTCTGCCCCTGGCCCCTCCCAAATCTGATGTCCTCACATTTCAAAATGAATCATGCCTTCCCAACAATCCCCCAAAGTCTTAATTTACTTCATCATTAACTCAAAAGTCCACAGTCCAACATCTCATCTGAAACAAGGCAAGTTCCTTTGGCCTAAAAGCCTGCAAAATCAAAAACAAGTCAGTTACTTCCTAGATAGAATTAGGGTACAGGAATTAGGTAAACACAGTCATTCAAAATTGGAGAAATTAGCTAAAAAAAAGGGGCTAGAGGCCCCGTGCAAGTCTGAAATCCAGGAGGGCAGTCAATTCTTAGAAGTCCAAAATGATCTCCTTTGATGCCATGTCTCACATCAGGTCACACTGATGCAAAAGGTGGGTTCACATAGTCTTAGGCAGCTCTGCTTCTGTGGCTCTGCAGGGTACAGCCTCCCTCCTGGCTGCTTTCACAGGCTGGAGTTAAATGTCTGTGGCTTTTCTGGACACACGGGGAAATCTGTCAGTAGATCATTCTGGGGCCTGGAGAATGGTGGCCCTCTTCTTACAGTTCCACTAGGTGTGCCCTAGCAGGGACTCTGTGTGGGGGCTCTGACCCCACATTTCCCTTCTGCATTCCCTAGCAGAGGTTCTCCATGAAGGCCCTGCCCCTACAGCAAACTTCTGCTTGGGCATCCAGGCATTTCTATACATCTTCTGAAATCTTGGCAGAGGTTCCCAAACCCCAATTCTTGACTTCTGTGCACTCTAAGGCTCAACACCATGTGGAAGCTGCCAAGGCTTGGGGCTTGCACCCTCCAAAGCCATGGCCCTAACTCTACATTGGCCCCTTTCAGCCACAGCTGGAGCAGCTGAGACACAGGGCACCAAACCACTAGGCTGCACACAGCACAGGGACCCTGGGCTGGACCCAGGAAACCATGTTTTCTTCCTATGCCTCTGGGTCTGTGGTGGGAGGGGCTGCTGTGAAGACCTCTGACATGTCCTGGAGACATTTTCTCCATTTCTTGGTGATTAACATTGGGCTTCTAGTTACCTATGCAAATTTCTGCAGTTGGCTTGAATTTCTCCTCAGAAAATGGGAATTTGTTTTCTTTTGCAGTGTCAGGCTGCAAATTTTCCAAACTTTTGAACTCTGATTTCCTAATAAAACTGAATGCCTTTAACAGCACCCAAGTCACCTCTTGAATGCTTTTCTGCTTAGAAATTTCTTCTGCCAGATACCCTAAATCATCTCTCTCAAGTTCAAACTTCCACAAATCTCTAGGGCAGGGGCAAAATGCTGCCAGTTTCTTTGTTAAAACATAACAAGAGTCACCTTTGCTTCAGTTCCCCAAAAGTTCTTCATCTCCATCTGAGACCATCTCAGCCTGGACCTTATTCTCTAGGAAGTTCCAAACTTTCCCACATTTTTCTCTCTTCTCCTGAGCCCTCCAAACTGTTGCAAAGTCTGCCTGTTACCCAGTTCCTAAGTTGCTTCCACATTTTGGGTATCTTTTCAGCAATGCCCCACTCTACTGGTACCAATTTACTGTATTAGTCTGTTTTCACACTGCTGATAAAGACATACCCAAGACTGAGCAATTTACAAAAGAAAGAGGTTTATTAGACTTAAACTTCTTTGTGGTTGGGGAGGCCTCACAATCATGGCAGAAGGTGAAAGACAAGGAGGAGGAAGTCACGTCTTACAAGGATGGCAGAAGATAAAGAGAGAGCTTGTGCAGGGAACTCCTGTTTTTAAAAATGTCAGATCTCACGAGACTCATTCACTATCACCAGAACAGCAGAGGAAAGACCCACTCCCATAATTCAATCACCTCCCACTGGGTTCCTCCCACAACACGTGGGAATTGTGGGAGTTAAAATTCAAGATAAGATATAGGTGGGGACACAGCCAAACCATATCTATATGTGTGTATATACATAGGCATATATACATATATGTATCATGTATATGCATAGAAAGAGGAAATATGTATGCATATATATGTATTATTTCCATTTTTAGGAAACTGTGTAAGGATCAGTTGCAGGGTCTTTTTAAATACCTGTATATGTATTATTTTTGTAACAAATTTTGAGAAACACTGATATAGATGAGTAATGATAGTGATAGGATTTCGCTTGTTTTTTTCCTATTATAAAGAGTACTTTGCAGGTTAATTCATGTTGCTTGTGTAGTTTTTGAATGTAAAATTTATTCTAAGGTTTCAATCTTTAGTTGTAAGAAACAGTGATGCTGGGACAGAAAGATTTTACAAACATGGGCTATGGCCTGTTTAATCTATACATATATATAAGGTTTTCCAATTTGTTGTTTATGTGAACTCCAAGTAACCTAACATCTCTGATTTGGTGCTAAGGCCATTTTTATCTAAGAGCATTAAATCTAAGAAGCTTATATAAATAAATATAAAATTACACCAAATTTTGACTCTTTATTATGTAAATCATTGTCATCATTATGATGGCTAGATTGGTTATGGTTCAGGCTTTACTAGATTTTCTTTTTTTTTAATCGACTTGCACCAAGTGGTCACATTATTGATTTCTTTACATTTTTCTTCAACTACTTGACATTGAAAAATAAGAAAACTAAGTAATTGCATAATTAACTCATTCTGAAACTCTTTTTGCATTGGAGAAAATTAGTATCATTTTTAATCTGTTGTAAATATCAATTACAATTTCCTTATTCATTGTTTTTAATTTATTTACTATGTACTTATTTTGTATTTACTATCAGCATCTTATTACTATTATTATTTTAAAATCTGAAACTGAAGACAAGGTAATTTCAAAGTTTTTAGAAAATAATTACTAATATGGATAATATCTATCACAATTTTTATCTGTTTCAAATACTATATTCTCTATAGTATGCATATATTTTTTAAATTCATTATGAAGAAATCAGCACTGGTAAATGGTTATTAATTTTTATAATTTCACCTTAATGTATTTACAAAATATTAATAAAATTTTCCATTATTTCTTTGAATATGAATATTATACCTTGTGTATAAATTATATAGTTCTCATTCTAATTAAAAGTCAGAATTTCTCTCTTTTGTTTCTAAATTAACTCATCACCTCATATTAATTGATTTTTAACACTATGTTGGAGACAGAGTTGATACAATTACTCACCACACTGTCATGCAGGAACTAAAGTTATTGAATTGTGAACTCAATTGTAGAACTCAGAAGTGATAGATGTTTTCAAACATCAGAATGAAAAATTATATTTATTGAGGAAAAAGACTAAGGCTATGAATATTCCTTTAATCACTACATAAAAGAAACATTTGGAAGGATGAGACTAAGGAAGGCCAGTTTTTATGCCATTGGCTCTCAATCTCTGTAATGGCAATTGAATTTTTCTGTCTTTGCCGTTTCATGGTCTTATTATGTTTTAAATTTGTGTGTGTGTGTGTGTGTGTATACACAACTGACAAATATGGCAAAATATTAGCGTAAGACTGCTATTAAATCATACCTTGAATCTAATTTCTGGAGGAAAGGATAATTTTTACTAAGACAGCATCTCCAATGGAACTGTTTTAATTCTTCTAACAACAAACTTAAATTTTATATATATATATAAATTATATATAAATATTTTATATATATAAATTATATATAAATATTTTATATATAAAAATATATATAAATATGTTATATATATAAATTATATATAAATATGTTATATATATAAATTATATATATTATATATATAAATTATATATAAATATGTTATATATAAATTATATATAAATATTTTATATATATATAAATTATATATAAATATGTTATATATAATTTATATATAAATATTTTATATATATAAATTATATATATAAATTATATAAATTATAGAATTTTATAAATTATATAAATTTAATATATAAAATATATAAATTATATATATAATTTGTATATAATATATATCATATTCTGCTTCTTACTGGGGCAGGAGAATAGAGTCTGCAGGCAGGGAACATAAGGCGGATTCATGCTGACTTCTTGGAACTAAATCAAATGAAAACACTTCAGCTATGACAGGAAATATCCTCTCAATTTACATAGGACATACACTGAGTACATGACTTTGCAACTTTACTTAATCCTCTTCATTTACATAGGGCATACACCACATAACCAATGGAAACCTCTAGAGGCTATTTAAACCCCCACAAATTCTGTAACAGTGCCCTTGAGCCCCTGTGCTCTGGCTGCTCCCACACTGTGGAGTGTACTTCTGTTTTCAATAAATCTCTGCTTTTGTTGCTTCATTCTTTTCTTGCCTTGTTTGTGTGTTTTGTCCAATTCTTTTTATAAGACATCAAGAACCTGGACACCCTCCACCGGTAACAATACCCTTGATTTTCCCTGTAGTCTCCTCAGTTGCATTGTTATACTCGTTCTAAAAGTAATAGCCATTTTATGTGGCTCTGTGATTTCCACTTCCACTCCCCAGTGTGGAGAGCATGTTAAACATACAAAAGTTCAAATAATTATTGGATTGAATTGGAAGACCTGATCTATTTGTATTCTAAGCATATGAGGAAACCATGGGAAGCTAGTATATCAACATTCATAATGCTTTACCTCAGTGGTCAGCAAAACTACAGCCTATAGGCCAAAGGCTAATAGCTGCTGTTTTTTTATTTTCATTAGCTTGAAAACTAAGAATGTTTTTAAATTTTTGGATGCTTGAAAACTTTAAAGAGAAGAATGACCTTTTGTAACATATAAAAATGATATGGAATTCTAATTTCATTGTACATAAAGTTTACTGAACACACCATGCCAATCCCTTTACAGAGTGTCTCTAGCTACCTTGGAGCTACAGTGGCAGAGTTGAACATTTGCAACAGAGTCTAGAACCAAAACAAAAATTCTTACTATCTGGTCTTTCCAGAAAAAGTTTTCCATCACTGCTTTCCATTTTCTTATGAAAATGGAAATTTTTATCTCATTTGAGATTCACAACATTTCTATAGCGTATGTGGTATTCACCTCTAGCATGTTGCAAATAACAAGATCTACGCTCTGTATTGTGTAAATTTAAAAAACTAAAGCTTTGATTTTAAGTGATGTTGTCAGGGTTTTTTATACAACTTCTTGACTTCAGACTCAATAACTTCTCACTACAATTGTGTCTTCTTCCATCAAATAATCTCAGAGAATTCCTACTTTATTTTATAAAAGTTCTGTGAACACTACACCCTCTAGGTAACTTCAGTTTCAGAGAATTATGACCCAATGTGCAACTTCACTAATACAAGCTAATAACGTCTACATGATTCAAAATTATTCTACATTAGGTACTCTTTGAAAGGGGATAAACAGGGGGCAACCCAAAGTCTTCACTGACAATTCTGCTATGGTAAAGGAGACGCTCAGTAGTGACATAACCAAGGTCCAGAAGGGCCCCACCTGTCAGTTAATGACTTCCAAGTTGAGATATTCTTTCTAATCCCCCTTGCTGACTTGCAACCAGAAAAGGCACTCATGTGGTTGTAGGTCTTGGAACAGTGGAACAGGGCTAAAAGTAACAGGGCCTTCTAAGAAGGACAGCAAAAGAAAGAGCCTATCTTAAACTTTGTTTAAAAATCAAACACTTTGATTTTCTAATAATAATATACTTGCTATAACACTTCAGATTTCTCTATTAATTTTCACTTTGTGACTCTCTAATTATTTCTTCCCAATCACTTCACACTTGATGTGTCATCTTTAAAAAATATTTTTAAAAGACTCATTTTAGTAAAAGTGATAGACTTGAGTCAACTGTACATCTGTAATATAGGGAAAAACAATAGACACAGACAGCAAAATAGCAGAGTAAGCCCACTATCCAATCATATCTTGAATCTAATTTCTGGAGGATAGGATCATTTTTACTAAGAAAGACAGCATCTTTATGGAAACTTTTAAAATTGTTCTCACAACAAACTTAACAAAAAATAAAGATAAAAGTTTTCAACTGCAAGAACCAAAGCCACTGTTGCTTGAAGGAGGGGCTATTAGTCAGAGAGGTTCCTTCGGTGAGTAAAAAGGAAAAGAAAGATGGTCTATAAGAGGTATAAATTCTTGGGGTACATAAAACATAACTGAAAAACAGGATTCTGGTTTACAATAATAAAACCAAATAAAAAATGATCTTCCCCACTATATAATAGTGCAAGGCTAATTGGTAAAAAGAATGTACAGCTAAGAAGAGAGCGTAGTGGGAAGAAAGAGTAAAACCACAAAATACAAAAAAGTTTAAGACAATGGGTCACTACATTCTCTTTCACTTATAACTACTCAGATGAATAAAGAAGGAACAAAATGTTAATTATTGAGTCAATCTATTTAATAAAATATTATTAGTCAATTATTGTAGTAGGAAGAAAGTAAAACCACAAAATACAAAAAAAATTAAGACAATTAAATGGGTCACTACATTCTCTTGCATTTATAACTACTCAGATGAATAAAGAAGGAATAAAATATCATTTAGTCAATTATTGAGTAAAATACCTGATTTTATGTTCTAAGGCATTTTGTAAGTTTAATGAAATGATTATGCAAGATATAAACCTCGGAAATGAATATAGCTAGACATTAATTGATTAACATATAGACTAGTTAGACTAGTTATCTAATTAACTAGGAACAAACAATAAGTTAGGGTAGTAAATAGTAAAATTTCACAAGGTTCTGTATGAGTGAAATTGCTCCTTTAGGGTCTAACTTTTTAACAAGGGAACTAAAATATGAATCAGTTTTTTGTCTTTAAACATCATCCCAGCTAATGTTCTTCCCAAACCAATGGTTGTTTAAATTGCCAAATTTGTTATTTATTTCAATAGTTAAAATGCGATTAATTCATGTGCCAATTAAGAATCCCATAGAGAACTCTTTCAAAGACTATTATTTTTAAATTAAGATAGTTTTTTTTTTTGCTTTATTTGTGAAACTACACATCATGGCAATTTATTTTCTCAGGTTTTAAATTTCGTGTGTTCATTTCTACTCTTTACGTTTGACATCTTCACCTTGAACAGTATAGTTTGTTGTCAAACCCAGTGTCAATAGTTATATGTCTAATCAGGTTTTTAGTTGAAAGCAATAGACCCAATTTTGAACAATTCGAAGAGTAAAGAAATACACCAAGAATTATTATGTCTGATGACCAAAAAGACCCTGGGTTATAACAGTCAGGCTTGAGGGCTCTATAGCCAGGGAAAACGAGGAGTTACTCCAGCTAATACTACACTGCACTGTACCCACTATATTCAGATACAGAGCTCATGCTAGTGAGGCTGTTCAGTGAATGCCAGCTCGCCTGCTGCTGCCGCTCCCTCCCAAGATGTAGTCTCAAAACAATGTGAGTGACTGGCTGTATCATGTGTTTATAATCTAGATGAAAGATAAATTAGGGAGGGAAGATTCTGACTCCTTTAGAAAATTAAACCTCAGAAGAGTATTCAAATGAAGTTGGGCAGCCAAAAATTATGCAAACATTAAAAGGACAGTCAATAACTAGGACAAATTACTTATTTATCTCAGTTGTACAATTCCTTTGACAAAATACATTTCAGTTATTTATTTGTAAAACAGTAATTATGTGTGTGATGTTTTCAGCTTTATTCTAGGTGGGACAGAGTTCTTGCTCTGAAAATTTAACAATTTAGTAGACACAAAAAATAAATTAGGAAGATATTAAAATATTATACTCAGTAGAGCCATATACTTTGCAACGGTTTACAGAGGACGAAGACATTGTTTCTAATGTGTGGAAGGATTTAAAGTAAATTAGGAAACTTTTATAGCAAGTAATATTGAAAAAGAATGGAAGTAGAAGTGAGTTCTGTGAGAAAACATTTTAAATGGTCCATTTTCAAGGCATGATAAATCTAAGTAACGGCAGCCAGCCTGCAAATGTAACAAACAGCACGGCCCATGCACCTTAGAAGGTCACAATAAGTAAACAGAATGTAGAGGAGGGGTCAGCCCATAAAAGAGAAGAAAGTTTCATTATTGGGAAATTGAAACTTAAGCGGGGAAGGCGATGGGTTATAACCTTATAAGGAGGATAATGAAACTTAGTGTCATCCGGGAAGGTTGTAACCCCATAGTACTCAACCAATGAGGAACTAGGGGAGGGACTTGCGTACCGGAGATAAATTACCTGTTGTGACTGACCCAGGTGCGTCGTCCCAGACACCCGATGTTACAAGACCGTTATAAAAAGTCTCATTTTCACTGTTCTTCGTGCCTCTAAGTCCATTCTTTGGGTTTGAACGGGTGAGTGTGTTTCTCACAACCTGAGGGCCCGTTCGGGATCTCTGTGCCTACGTGGAGTGGGACTCCGGCTGAGAGAAGAGACATGTCCCACCCGATTTTTGTGCCCCACTCTGTCTGGGTGTCCTGGCTCCCCACAGAAGCCATAGATAAACCCGAGACTGTTATTCAGGAGACGGTGGAGGTGACGCAGGGAGAAAAGCAGGCACTGCGGCAAACAGGCAACCTCGTGCACCAGCCAAGGTAGGAAACTTGGACTATAAGTACCGCTTTGGTGGGGTATTTTCGGAGGTCCTCAGGGTGTGCAGAAAACCTCCAGTAAGAGGGGTTGGGTACACAGGAAAAAACTCAGACACAGAGACTGGCTGAAAATGGGAGACAAGAATTCCAGGCCTAGGGGACAAAGGAAAGAGGGAGTCAAAGAGACTCCTGACATTTCCCCGGATAGTCCTTTGGGGAAAATGTTGCAGGTTTGGAAGAACAACCCTCGAACCAGGAACAAGGAAAAGCAAAAGAGGCTAAAGTACTGCAGTTTATCTGACCCAAAGACCCCATTCATAAGCCTTCAGTTTTTTGGTTAAGTTTGGCTCAGATGAGGATTGAGTGTGCCAAGCTTTAATTCTCTATGTGCATAATAAAACTCCATCCTCACAAGAGCAGATACATTATGCTCTCTGTTGGACCTAGGAATTAGCCCCTATGTCCTCCTTGAAAGGGAGAAAGAGAAAAAGTAAGAAAGGAAATTGGAAAGAGAAAGGGGAGGAAATGGCAAATATAGACCGCCAGAGAGAGAAAGAGTTAAGCTGCTGACCCTGAAAGCAAGGAGACAGCTGGCTGTGCAGCTGGAGGCATGGGGCAGTAGGAGCCACAGAGCCAAAGCAGACAGCCAAGATAAAAGTGGACAGTGTGAGAGAGCCAAAGCTGTCTGTCTTGCAGACAGACAGAGATAGAAGAAGAAAATGAGAGAGAGACTGGAAAAGACAGAAGTCAAAGAGAGACGCAGAAGGTGAGACTGGGGAGAAAAGGAAAGAAATGGCATAAATTATCATGCAGGCAAGAAGAATCAGGATCTCTTCATAAAACAGCAAACACTTGGATATTAAAGTAGATGTAACATAATAAATAAGCATTAAATAACATGATTTATTTATATTACATAATAATTATATTTCATGATTATTTTCCTGTATGAACTTGTTTTATTAATCATGCATTGGTGCATCATTCTTTTACACAAAAGTTTGCATTGTGCATTATTTACTTTGTTAGCTGCTTCATAATTTGTTACTAATATATTTTTTAACTTTTAACTTCTATTTAATTACACCTAACTTATTACGTGCCTAAGTCAAAATTTCTGATGCTTATTCCCAATTACATACAGGCTATGTTCTCAAAACTTATTTGTTTATTTATGAGACAGGGAATCCCTGTGTTGCCCAGGCTGGAGTGCGGTGACACCATCTCAGCTCACTGCAACCTCCGCCTGCTGGGCTCAAGCGAACCTCTCACCTTAGCCTCACAAGTAGCTGGGACTACAAGCTCACTGCACCAGGCTCGGCTAATTTTTGTATGTTCTGTAGAGAGAGGGTTTCGCCATGTTGCCCAGGCTGGTCTCGAACTCCTGACCTCAAATGATTCTCCTGCCTCTGCCTCTGCCTCCCAGAGTACTGGGATTACAGGCATGAGCTACCATGTCTGGCCATATGTTCTCAAAATTTTAAATGAATAATATTCAGTCTTCTGTCCTGGAAAGATAGCAATGTAAGTTGACTTGCTGTGGATTTTCATCACCAACAAACTTTCAAAACTCTGTTTTAGGAAGTAAATTATAAGGAACACTATATATAGTTGTGGAAGGTGAGAGAGCTGAAATCCGGCCTTCATTTCACTCTTTGTCATCAGACTGATTCTTCTATGGGATCTAGTAGAACAAATGTTGGCCTTTAAAACTATTACATTTTGAACATTGAGTCAGAAGCTTTGCATTTCTATCTGATATATTGATGATGCTATAGCACAATAGTTGAGAGATAGTTGGATATTTCTCAATTGAGGAAAGGGGATTTTTGTGACACTCTTTTGAAGACATCTGAAGAAATCCGAAAAGTAACCTCCAGCAATTGCACATGGAACAGAATATCCAGACAGCTGACATGTCAGGCTGGGATACTGCTTTGGCCATACCTTAGCAAATGTATAATATGCATACAGACCCTAATGATTTTTTTCTTAGACTCCGTATATTCAGAAGTTAGAGCCATCTGCTAGATCCAGGGGATGGAGTGCAATGGCGCGATCTCAGCTCACTGCAACCTCCACCTCCAGGATTCAAGCGATTCTCCTGCCTCAGCCTCCCGAGTAGCTGGGATTATAGGCGCCTGCCACCACACCCTGCTAATTTTTTGTATTTTTAGTAGAGATGGGGTTTCATTATATTGGCCAGGCTAGTCTCGAACTACTGACCTCGTGATCTGACCGCCTCAGCCTCCCAAAGTGCTGGGATTACAGGTGTGAGCCATGGCACCTGCCCAAATGAAAAAGGTTTTGTAAACAAAAAGAAAACAGATTTGCCCTACTTTCAGATGAATAAAAATCTTTTATTGATTTTAGCACTTTATAGAAATAAGTAATGGTTATTTAGAAAAAAATAAGAGAATAAGAAAAGGCAGAAAAACTATGGAAGATTACTTGGATTCTCACAATTTATGGATAAGTATTGTGAAATCTTGCTGTACGTTTGTTTCCACTAATATGTAGTTATACACATAGTTAATATGGAATTATTAGGTATATACTTTCAAAATCTTTTTTTCATATATAGAGGGCTACATACCTAAGGGCTTACATACCTCTTCACTGGCTCCAGGATGTTGCCTTTAAACTTTTGACAAAGCTAAAACAAAATTTAGACACATAAAATAACATTAAAGACATTCATAAACCTCTTCTGCACTTCCTTGAGTTTTCTTAACAATACATTAATATATAATATAGTGTCAGCTTGACTGGATTTGGCTTGTTAAGTATTCTCAAAAAACATTTCAAAGGCTTATCTACAGTGAACTTGCTGTTGACTTCACTTTGATATTAACTGTAAATTTTTGTCTCCTGGGTAGCTGAATCAATCATTTGTACTTAAAACTTTTACTACTTTCATGTTTGAAAGCACCATTTACTACTCTAATAATTTTATTTTATTTATTTTTTTAAATTTTTTATTTATTATTATTATACTTTAAGTTTTAGGGTACATGTGCACAATGTGCAGGTTAGTTACATATGTATACATGTGCCATGCTGGTGTGCTGCACCCACTAACTCGTCATCTAGCATTAGGTATATCTCCCAATGCTATCCCTGCCCCCTCCCCCCAACCCACAACAGTCCCCAGAGTGTGATGTTCCCCTTCCTGTGTCCATATGTTCTCATTGTTCAATTCCCACCTATGAGTGAGAATATGCGGTGTTTGGTTTTTTGTTCTTGCGATAGTTTACTGAGAATGATGATTTCCAATTTCACCCATGCCCCTACAAAGGACATGAACTCATCATTTTTTATGGCTGCATAGTATTCCATGGTGTATATGTGCCACATTTTCTTAATCCAGTCTATCATTGTTGGACATTTGGGTTGGTTCCAAGTCTTTGCTATTGTGAATAATGCCGCAATAAACATACGTGTGCATGTGTCTTTATAGCAGCATGATTTATAGTCCTTTGGGTATATACCCAGTAATGGGATGGCCGGGTCAAATGGTATTTCTAGTTCTAGAACCCTGAGGAATCACCACACTGACTTCCACAGTGGTTGAACTAGTTTACAGTCCCACCAACAGTGTAAAAGTGTTCCTATTTCTCCACATCCTCTCCAGCACCTGTTGTTTCCTGACTTTTTAATGATTGCCATTCTAACTGGTGTGAGATGGTATCTCATTGTGGTTTTGATTTGCATTTCTCTGATGGCCAGTGATGGTGAGAATTTTTTCATGTGTTTTTTTGGCTGCATAAATGTCTTCTTTTGAGAAGTGTCTGTTTATGTCCTTTGCCCACTTTTTGATGGGGTTGTTTGTTTTTTTCTTGTAAATTTGTTTGAGTTCATTGTAGATTCTGGATATTAGCCCTTTGTCAGATGAGTAGGTTGCGAAAAGTTTCTCCCATTTTGTAGGTTGCCTGTTCACTCTGATGGTCATTTCTTTTGCTGTGCAGAAGCTGTTTAGTTTAATTAGATCCAATTTGTCAATTTTGTCTTTTGTTGCCATTGCTTTTGGTGTTTTAGACATGAAGTCCTTGCCCATGCCTATGTCCTGAATGGTAATGCCTAGGTTTTCTTCTAGGGTTTTTATGGTTTTAGGTCTAATGTTTAAGTCTTTAATCCATCTTGAATTGATTTTTGTATAAGGTGTAAGGAAGGGATCCAGTTTCAGCTTTCTTCATATGGCTCACCAGTTTTCCCAGCACCATTTAGTAAATAGGGAATCCTTTCCCCATTGCTTGTTTTTCTCAGGTTTGTCAAAGATCAGATAGTTGTAGATATTTGGCGTTATTTCTGAGGGCTCTGTTCTGATCCATTGATCTATATCTCTGTTTTGGTACCAGTACCATGCTGTTTTGGTTACTGTAGCCTTGTAGTATAGTTTGAAGTCAGGTAGTGTGATGCCTCCAGCTTTGTTCTTTTGGCTTAGGATTGACTTGGCGATGCAGGCTCTTTTTTGGTTCCATATGAACTTTAAAGTAGTTTTTTCCAATTCTGTGAAGAAAGTCATTGGTAGCTTGATGGGGATGGCATTGAATCTGTAAATTACCTTGGGCAGTATGGCCATTTTCACGATATTGATTTTTCCTACCCATGAGCATGGAATGTTCTTCCAGTTGTTTGTATCCTCTTTTATTTCCTTGAGCAGTGGTTTGTAGTTCTCCTTGAAGAGGTCCTTCACATCCCTTATAAGTTGGATTCCTAGGTATTTTATTCTCTTTGAAGCAATTGTGAATGTGAGTTCACTCATGATTTGGCTCTCTGTTTGTCTGTTGTTGGTATATAAGAATGCTTGTGATTTTTGTACATTGATTTTGTATCCTGAGACTTTGCTGAAGTTGCTTATCAGCTTAAGGAGATTTAGGGCTGAGACAATGGGGTTTTCTAGATATACAATCATGTCGTCTGCAAACAGGGACAATTTGACTTCCTCTTTTCCTAATTGAATACCCTTTATTTCCTTCTCCTGCCTGAGTGCCCTGGCCAGAACTTCCAACACTATGTTGAATAGGAGTGGTGAGAGAGGGCATCCCTGTCTTGTGCCAGTTTTCAAAGGGAATGCTTCCAGTTTTTGCCCATTCAGTATGATATTGGCTGTGGGTTTCTCATAGATAGCTCTTATTATTTTGAAATACGTCCCATCAATACCTAATTTATTGAGAGTTTTTAGCATGAAGCGTTGTTGAATTTTGTCAAAGGCCTTTTCTGCATCTATTGAGATAATCATGTGGTTTTTGTCTTTGGTTCTGTTTATATGCTGGATTACATTTATTGATTTGCGTATATTGAACCAGCCTTGCATCCCAGTGATGAAGCCCACTTGATCATGGTGGATAAGCTTTTTGATGTGCTGCTGGATTTGGTTTGCCAGTATTTTATTGAGGATTTTTGCATCAATGTTCATCAAGGATATTGGTCTAAAATTCTCTTTTTTGGTTGTGTCTCTGCCCAGCTTTGGTATCAGGATGATGCTGGCCTCATAAAATGAGTTAGGGAGGATTCCCTCTTTTTCTATTGATTGGAATAGTTTCAGAAGGAATGGTACCAGTTCCTCCTTGTACCTCTGGTAGAATTCGGCTGTGAATCCATCTGGTCCTGGAGTCTTTTTGGTTGGTAAGCTATTGGTTATTGCCACAATTTCAGATCCTGTTATTGGTCTATTCAGAGATTCAACTTCTTCCTGGTTTAGTCTTGGGAGAGTGTATGTGTCGAGGAATTTATCCATATCTTCTAGATTTTCTAGTTTATTTGCATAGAGGTGTTTGTAGTATTCTCTGATGGTAGTTTGTATTTCTGTGGGATCGGTGGTGATATCCCCTTTATCATTTTTTATTGTGTCTATTTGATTCTTCTCTCTTTTTTTCTTTATTAGTCTTGCTAGCGGTCTATCAATTTTGTTGATCCTTTCAAAAATCCAGCTCCTGGATTCATTAATTTTTTGAAGGGTTTTTTGTGTCTCTATTTCCTTCAGTTCTGCTCTGATTTTAGTTATTTCTTGCCTTCTGCTAGCTTTTGAATGTCTTTGCTCTTGCTTTTCTAGTTCTTTTAATTGTGATGTTAGGGTGTCAATTTTGGATCTTTCTTGCTTTCTCTTGTGGACATGTAGTGCTATAAATTTCCCTCTACACACTGCTTTGAATGCGTCCCAGAGATTCTGGTATGTTGTGTCTTTATTCTCGTTGGTTTCAAAGAACATCTTTATTTCTGCCTTCATTTCGTTATGTACCCCGTAGTCATTCAGGAGCAGGTTGTTCAGTTTCCATGTAGTTGAGCGGTTTTGAGTGAGATTCTTAATCCTGAGTTCTAGTTTGATTTCACTGTGGTCTGAGAGATAGTTTGTTATAATTTCTGTTCTTTTACATTTGCTGAGGAGAGCTTTACTTCCCAGTATGTGGTCAATTTTGGAATAGGTGTGGTGTGGTGCTGAAAAAAATGTATATTCTGTTGATTTGGGGTGGAGAGTTCTGTAGATGTCTATTAGGTCTGCTTGGTGCAGAGGTGAATTCAATTCCTGGGTATCCTTGTTGACTTTCTGTCTCGTTGATCTGTCTAATGTTGACAGTGGGGTGTTAAAGTCTCCCATTATTAATGTGTGGGGGTCTAAGTCTCTTTGTAGGTCACTCAGGACTTGCTTTATGAATCTGGGTGCTCCTGTATTGGGTGCATATATATTTAGGATAGTTAGCTCTTCTTGTTGAATTGATCCCTTTACCATTATGTAATGGCCTTCTTTGTCTCTTTTGATCTTTGTTGGTTGAAAGTCTGTTTTATCAGAGACTAGGATTGCAACCCCTGCCTTTTTTTGTTTTCCATTTGCTTGGTAGATCTTTCTCCATCCCTTTATTTTGAGGCTATGTGTGTCTCTGCATGTGAGATGGGTTTCCTGAATACAGCACACTGATGGGTCTTGACTCTTTATCCAATTTGCCAGTCTCTGTCTTTTAATTGGAGCATTTAGTCCATTTACATTTAAGGTTAATATTGTTATGTGTGAATTTGATCCTGTCATTTGATCTTGTCATTCTGATGTTAGCTGGTTATTTTGCTCATTAGTTGATGCAGTTTCTTCTTAGTCTCGATGGTCTTTACATTTTGGCATGATTTTGCAGTGGCTGGTATCGGTTGTTCCTTTCCATGTTTAGTGCTTCCTTCAGGAGCTCTTGTAAGGCAGGCCTGGTGGTGACAGAATTTCTCAGCATTTGCTTGTCTGTAAAGGATTTTATTTCTCCTTCACTTATGAAGCTTAGTTTGGCTGGACATGAAATTCTGGGTTGAAAATTCTTTTCTTAAGAATGTTGAATATTGGCCCCCACTCTCTTCTGGCTTGTAGAGTTTCTACTGAGAGATCCACTGTTAGTCTGATGGGCTTCCCTTCGAGTGTAACCCGACCTTTCTCTCTGGCTGCCCTAAACATTTTTTCCTTCATTTCAACTTTGGTGAATCTGACAATTATGTGTCTTGGAGTTGCTCTTCTTGAGGAGTATCTTTGTGGCGTTGTCTGTATTTCCTGAATCTGAAGGTTGGACTGCCTTGCTAGATTGGGGAAGTTCTCCTGGATAATATCTTGCAGAGTGTTTTCCAACTTGGTTCCATTCTCCCCGTCGCTTTCAGGTACACCAATCAGACGTAGATTTGGTCTTTTCACATAGTCCCATATTTCTTGGAGGCTTTGCTCATTTCTTTTTATTCTGTTTTCTCTAAACTTCCCTTCTCGCTTCATTTCATTCATTTCATCTTCCATCGCTGATACCCTTTCTTCCAGTTGATCGCAGTGGCTCCTGAGGCTTCTACATTCTTCACGTAGTTCTTGAGCCTTGGTTTTCAGCTCCATCAGCTCCTTTAAGCACTTCTCTGTATTGGTAGAAGTTATACATTCTTCTAAATTTTTTTCAAAGTTTTCAACTTCTTTGCCTTTGGTTTGAATGTCCTCCTGTAGCTCAGAGTAATTTGATCGTCTGAAGCCTTCTTCTCTCAGCTCGTCAAAGTCATTCTCCATCCAGCTTTGTTCCGTTGCTGGTGAGGAAGTGCGTTCCTTTGGAGGAGGAGAGGCGCTCTGCTTTTTAGAGTTTCCAGTTTTTCTGCTCTGTTTTTTCCCCATCTTTGTGGTTTTATCTACTTTTGGTCTTTGATGATGGTGATGTACAGATGGGTTTTTGGTGTGGATGTCCTTTCTGTTTGTTAGTTTTCCTTCTAACAGAGAGGACCCTCAGCTGCAGGTCTGTTGGAGTACCCTGCCGTGTGAGGTGTCAGTCTGCCCCCGCTAGGGGGTGCCTCCCAGTCAGGCTGCTCGGGGGTCAGGGGTCAGGGACCCACTTGAGGAGGCAGTCTGCCCGTTCTCAGATCTCCAGCTGCGTGCTGGGAGAACCACTGCTCTCTTCAAAGCTGTCAGACAGGGACACTTAAGTCTGCAGAGGTTACTGCTGTCTTTTTGTTTGTCTGTGCCCTGCCCCCAGAGGTGGAGCCTACAGAGGCAGGCAGGCCTCCTTGAGCTGTGTTGGGCTCCACCCAGTTGGAGCTTCCTGGCTGCTTTGTTTACCTAAGCAAGCCTGGGCAATGGCGGGCGCCCCTCCCCAGTGGCGGGCGCCCCTCCCCCAGCCTCGCTGCCGCCTTGCAGTTTTATCTCAGACTGCTGTGCTAGCAATCAGGGAGACTCCGTGGGCGTAGGACCCTCCGAGCCAGGTGGGGTACACAATCTCCTGGTGCGCCGTTTTTTAAGCCCGTCGGAAAAGCGCAGTATTCGGGTGGGAGTTACCTGATCTTCCAGGTGCCGTCTGTCACCCCTTTCTTTGACTAGGAAAGGGAACTCCCTGACCCCCTGCTCTTCCCGAGTGAGGCAATGCCTCACCCTGCTTCGGCTAGGCTCGCGCGTGCACCCACTGACCTGTGCCCACTGGCTGGCACTCCCTAGTGAGATGAACCCGGTACCTCAGATGGAAATGCAGAAATCACCCGTCTTCTGTGTCGCTCACTCTGGGAGCTGTAGACCGTTGTTGTTCCTATTTGGCCATCTTGGCTTCTTTCTACTCTAATAATTTTATACTTTCGAATGCAGTAATGTAAATTCTAAACACATTTGGAAACTGTGGAATTATTTTCATTTTAAATTTATCAACAATGCTTTATAATATAAATAAAATATTTGGCAAGCAATTCATACATTTAAGGAAGAAGTAGTCTTGTCTATTTGGAAGAGATAAACTAAATTGCTATGTTCATGGTATATTTTGGATTTAGAAATTTTAAGGAATATCAAGATCTCCAAAAATAACAAAAAGTAATTATACATAAAATGTATGACTACAAAGGTAAGTTGCATATGTTGTTTAAATAACTTTAAAAAATTTTTTCTCTAACTGAAAACAAGGAGTCAGAAAGCACTTGTTCAAAAATAGTAAATTGTGCATGATACCAAGTCAGCTTTTTAAATATATTTTTAAAATTTTAGTTGACATATAATAATTGTATATATTTATGGGATACAGACTGATATTTTGATACCCATGTATAATGTGTAATGATCAATTGGGAAAATTAGCATATCCTTCAAGTCAAAAAAATTGATCATTTCTTTGTCATGTGAACATTCAAAATTCTCTCTTCCAGCTTTTTGAGAATAGACAATAAATTTTATGTGATCATATTCCCCCTACAGTGCTGCAGAAAACCAGAACTCATTCCCCCATCTAACTGTAATGTATCTATTAACCAACCTCTCCCCAGCCTCTGTTTTCTACCTCTCCTTCCCAGACTTTTATACCCACAATTCTACTCTTTACTTTTCTGACCTCAAATTTTATCAAGTCAGTTTTTAATGACAAATCATCACCTCTCCCATGTCTCTTAAGTAGACATACTGCTCTTAAAGTGACATGAATTGAGTATATCATCAAGAAAGCAAAACCATGTGAATAAAGTCACTTAAAACCAGCTTCAACGTATTAAATAAATAGTAATTAAAGCCCACTTTCTCAAATCCTTATGGGTTGGAAAAGAAATTAGCTGCCCCAAATTAAAATCTGTGTATTCCACCTTTTATTATGAAATATAACACATTCACAAAACAGTAAGATAAGGTATATGTATGGCTTAAATAACTATAAGCAACCATGCAGATCAAAAACTAGAATGTCAATACTCACACCTACTATTGCTCCTTCCTGGTCATAAACCACCTACCCCTGCCAGAAGCAAGTGTCCTGAGTTTTACATCAATCACTTGTTTGGCTTAAAATACTGTCACTTAAATATGCAACTATGAACCTTATATTTATATATAAGGTTATATATATATATATATATGGTGTTTTATATATATGAGGTTTTATGTGTATATATATGTATATATATACACACATAATTAAGAGATATGGAAAAGGTGGTAATGTGTCATTAAAAATTGACTTGATAAAATTTGAGCTCAGAAAAGTAGTGATAAGAATTGTGAGTATAAGAGGCAGGGAAGGGGAGTTAGAAAACAGAATGAGGAGAGTTTGGTTAGGAGATACAACATTACAATTAAATAGGAGGAATGAGTTCTGATTTTCTGTAGCATGGTAGAGTGAACATGGTCACTTATAATTTATTGTATATTCTTAAAATATTGTGTGTTCTCAAAATATACAATAAATTATTTGTAAGGTTAAATATATATATATGGTTTTATATATATACATACACATATACACACAAAAGATAAATATATATATCCTCTCATTCCATGAAGTTTTTTTGTATTTTTTATTATTTTGCCTATTACTTATAATTCAATAACTGAGTGTTTTATGAGAAAAAGTTTCAATTATTTTTTTCTATATAGATAATCAATTTCCTAGTACAACTGAAAAGATTGTCTTCCACTTTTATTTAGCCATGTCAATTTTGTTGTAAATCAAGTGTCCACATAACCATAAATCTGTCTCTGGACTCTTTAGTCCGAAAATTTGTATATTTGTCTAGCCTTGTGCCAAGAATACACTATTCTAATACTAAGATTTTATGAGTATTGTCAGTATGTAGAACAGGTAGTTTTCACACATGCATGTAGAATGTTAGATGGAATACATTTGATCCTTAGTATAGCTTGAAAAGAATTGATAAGTTAACAATATTGAGTCTAACAAATCATCAAAATGTATATTTTCTCATTTATTTAGCTCTTATACTCCTCAATAAAGTTTTCCTGCTATTTATTTTTAGTACTATATATACATTAATGCTACTTTTATCCTCTTTTTAAAAAATACTTTCCTGATTGTTGTTTGTATATGAAATACAAGTGATTCTATATATCTATTTTTGGATCCAGGCTTGTAATTTTCTAAATTCATCTCTAAGTTATTTTGGATTTTCTATACATACAATCTTATTGCCTGAAAATAATGCTATTTTTCTTTTATTTTTTCCAAGAAATATAATAACTATGGTTTTCTTCCTTTTCAAATCTTACAGGTACTTCCTTTTACTTCATTGTCTAGCAATTCATTACAAGGTTGCAAAAAAGTGGGGATCATGATAATTTATTTTTATATTTTTCTCATTAAAAAGAAAAGCTGCCCATATTTCACATTTAAATACAATTGTTAATGTAAGTTTCAATTATGGGTAATTTTAATTAGATGACTTTTTGCTATAATATTTCATTATGAAAACTTACTGATTATTATCAAATGTTTTTCTTATAAATATGATCAATATCATCATGTAATTGTTCCCCTATAATCTGCTATTATGCAGAATTACAGTGATTAATAACTAAAGTTAAATCAATTTTGTATTTCTGGATAAATCTTCGTAAGTCATGGTATGTCTTTATATCTTTAGAAAGATTAGATAGATATTCAGTGATATTTATATCTATAAGTTTATCTGTCTATGCAACTTTCTATTTGTGTTTAAGACTTTTTGCATATGTGTTTACTGAGGGTTTTTACTGGTTCTTTTTTTTTCTCATACTGATCTTGTTTGGAGTTGGTATAAAGGTTATCTTAGTATCTTAAATGGAGTTGGGGAATTGAGTAAGATTGGAGTTGTTGTTTGTTGTTTTTCTCTCTATATCATAAAATATTTTATTTCTTCTCAGAATGTTTTCTTGCTATCTATATTTGCTTTTTCTGGGGTGATGGTTACAGGTATATTAAGCAATTTGATATTATTCTGTGATCCATGGATATTCAGCTCTGCTTTCCCTGATATTTCCTCTCTTTTCTTCTTGATATTTCAGGTTGGGTATTTCCTTCAGCCTATTAAAGGAATTGGGAACCTGTGGTACCGTGAGTTTTATTTTTAGCACTTCAAATTGATATTTTAAGACTTTTCTCTGATGAACATGAAAAGTACATGATGCACCTGGAACATCTTGATGCATCAGAAAATACAGATGCACTCAAAGAATGATGTATATGTGTTAAAAGGAAACAGATGCTCGTATTAACTTTGGGTCATTTTAACTTCAAAATTAAACTATGTGCTATGATTTGAATATCTGTCCCCTCTAACTCACATTGACAGAATTCCCAATGTGGCAGTATTGAGATGTGGGACCTTTAAGAGGTGATAGAATTAGGAGGGCTCTGCCCTCATGAATAGATTAATTCAATTACGGATTAATGGATTAGTAAATTATCATGAGAGAGGAACTGGTGGCTTTGTAAGAATTGAGAAAACTGAGATATCACCTAAGATATCACCAGTATGCTCAGCCCCCTCACTCTGTGATAGCCTCTATCACCCCAGGATGCCCCAGAGAGTCCCCACCAGCAAGAAGACTCTCACCAGATGTACCGCCTCAACCTTAGGCTTCCCAGCCTATGTAACTCTAAGAGATAAATGTATTTCTTCTTAAGTTACGCGGTTATAGGCATTTTGCTACAAGCAGCAGAAACAGACTAAAGCAAAATGATTACAATTGCTTACATGTTATTGAATAAAATAGAAACCCATGAGTCCATACTTGTATCAATAAATAGAAAAATAAAGATTTAATGAAAATTGGAAATGTATTAGGCTGGTGCAAAATTAATCGGTTTTAGTACAAAAGCCGTGATTACTTTTGCACCAACCTAATACATAGTTTCAAGGTATCTTCCCACAAGTATTTATTAATTATAAAGGAAAATAGAGTAACTTTACATGGAAGAAGTGACAGATACAGCTATTTTTCTGAGAGATCAAATTAAATATTACCAGTGTTCATATACACTGAAATTCTACATCATGGTTAGCATGCAATGAGAAGAACATAGCAGCATTTTTGTTATATTATTGCCAAACCATTAGAGTCAGAGTCTAACCATTAGAAAATCTAAAAAAAAAAAAAAGAAAAAAAAAGAAAAAGCTAAGTGCATACTCAAATTGTTTCCCAAACCTGGAAATATTCTACAAAAACACTTGTTCCATAGTTTTAGAAATTATACAGAATAGGAAAGTCAAAGTAATTTCAAAGAAAATGAGACACATGACAACTAAAAGCAAACAGTTTTATTTTGAACTGGATAGTTTTACGATAAAGTAAATTATTAAGACAATTGTTGAAAGTTGAATGAAGGCTGAGGATTAGATGGCAATAATGTGTCAATGTTAATATTCTTATTCTGGTGATTATGTTAGAAAATATCTTTGTTTCTAAAAAATACATACCCACAAATTATTCATAGATAATGGAGTATTGTGTAACTGTTTCATTCTGTGATTATGTTCAACTAGTTCAAAGGGAAAAATTGTGCTTTATTAGCAAATTTGATACAAGTTTAAGATTATTTCAAACATTTAAATATGTGTTGAAATGTGCATATGAATGCTGAACAGCCAAAGAGGTGGACTGACTACTTTTTAATCGATTACTTTCAAGTTTAAACCTTTCCTCCCATATTCTACTTTGTGATTCATAGGATATGTCTTATAAATCACATTTCTCCCTTGAAAGTGGCTCCTTGTTAGGCCTTACCAAGAAAGGGCACTAGTAGTAGCTTGCAAGCCTAGAGGAAGACACTAATTTTTCATATGTACTTCCTTTAGTCTTCCTGTTTGTATCCTTTCTGTTTGCAGTTCCTTTGAGTGTCACGGGAGTACCATCTCTTTACCTTGGCAAGAGCAGATCCTTCATATCTGTAGTTGAATCACACACTCTCAGATATCTGAGCTTGAATTCTACAGGGACACTTATCTCAGCTTTTGAGTTTTAGTAAGTATAACTTCTTACCTGTTTGTCCCAACCCTTGGGATGGAAGTTACCTTTTACAGTTGCAACAAAAGAAATATTTTTTAAAATCTCTCTCTCTCCCTTACATTTGCCTAGCTAACAACTTTATACCTAGTTAACATATCTTTATATTAAAGTATCTTTAAACCATAGTTACTTAAACTTGATTAAATTTTTAACTATTTAATTACTAACATAAGTTTTTCAATAATACCAGGAAAGATTATTAAGTATGGGAGAATGTGATCCATCTTAAATCTTAAGTATCAAATATACATTTTCTTTTATTCTTGCGATCATATCAATGAAGTGCCTGATGCTAGAACACCAACAGTTCATGCTTCACATTTTTGAGACATAGGTAACTTTTGTTTTTAATTTTTAACTTTCCTTATGACAGTAAATGTCACAGAGGATAAGTAGAAAAAAAAAGAGATGAAATAACCATCTAACAAAGTTAAATTAGGTGAAATGCTGTGTATGTTTATCTTTTGAAGATACAATAAATGCACAATACACAATACACAATGGAGGAGTCGTTATTTGACACCAAGTGCCCTTCACTTATACTCCCCAAGGCATAATAGAACACAAGGCAGTCATATTACTTTTATCTTGATCAAGAATAAATCCTTGAATTTTAATCTTAGTGAAAGGAAAAGAGAGAGGCAATTTGAAAATGTGAATGGTAAAACAATAATTACAAGCACTTAATGCATACATAAAAAGCTATGCCTGATAATAATGATTACGACTAATGTTAAAATATAATTGATTTTTGGAGCCCATTACTTCTATAAAAGAAGAGTAGAAATAAAGTATCAAACTTTTTATTAAATACACAACCGACTTAAACAATGTGGCAATGTAAAACCACTCAGAAAAACCAGACAGGATTGAGATGCTAAGTAACAGCAATCATTTAAAATAATCTGGACTACTAGAGAAATACACGTAGTAATATGTTTTAGTTATCTGAAATATTAGGATCTAAGATGGATTTTTCTGACAATCAAATCTAATTATTAAGATTTTTTTTCTGAATTGAGTGTAAAAAGCAGTGTTCATATTTAATCTTTCATTATATTCAGTGCTAATAATATTTGATTTAAATGAGGAATGTGTATGTAATTGTTTAATAAATAATTATTATTGATAAACTGAAAGGATTGTGTTTGGATAAAAGGGTTTTATCTTACAGATTTTTCTCCTTTTTAAAATTTTCTGTGAATACAAAACAATAATGAATAATGCATTTTAAAAGCATTTTCATATTTTTTGAAATAGTGAGTAGGTTTTCTTTAGAGAACATTCACGTATACCTTAAAATATTAATTCTAAACATTATTAATAAATCTTACAATGTTCAATCAGTATTTTTTCTAAGTTTTGAGATACACAATTTAAGAAAGAAATATTCTTAATTAGATGTCAAGGGTTAATTACATATTAAGTAGTAACTTGAGTAGACTTTTTCTTGAGTCATTAAATATAACCTGATTTAGTATGTATTAAAATTCAATTAAGTTTATACTTGATTAATACACAGTATGCCAAATGTATATTAGTGGATGCCATTACACATTTTTATACTCACATTAAATGTGTAGCCTAGATATAAGCTACTAATTATTTCTTAGTTTTCCTCATTTTTTTCTTTTTTAAATTTTCACTGGGTCTTATCATATGGTCAGAGTATGGTAGAACTGCAATGGTTTATGAAAAGCAACTACCTGATTTGTTCAATACAAGTTTCACAGCTACTTAAATCCTTGTAATTCAGCTAAAGTTAAGTAAACAGATAAGGAGATACATTTATGATAAAGAAGTCCACTAAATCACTTGAAACAAGAGATTGTTATTTGGCAGGGGCAGAATTTTTTAGTGAATGCTCATTTCTAGTAGGATAAATGAATAAATGAGTAGTGACTCTATTTTTTTGTTTTGTTCCTTATCATGAACTTCATGGATAATATATTGCCTATCACAGTTGTCTGTCTGCAAGTCTCAAGCCTTAATATTGACAGAGTTTGTTGTTGTTGTTGTTGTTGTTATTTCTTATCTAGATTGTTTTATAAGTCTATGCATACAAACAAAAGTACTGGTGATTTAATTATTTTCACTGAATCCTGAAATACAGAGTACACCTTAGCTTTGTTAGAATATCATAAGTAATTTTGTTTTACTGACATAATTTACTATGTTGATAGAGGAGTACAAAGTCCCTAAAGCCATGGTTTGGAAAAACATTAAAAATGTTACTGAGTACCTAGTGTATCTACTGCCATTAATGCTTGTTCATTAAGGAAGAATTCAACAAGAGTAGCATATATAAATTTCATCCTTACAAGTAAATATCCTTATCCAGTTGGATTGGCAGGACATATGTGCCTGTATTAACTAAACGTATGTTCAGAGAAAGATATCAAATGCAATAATATATGTGGATAAAGACTTAAGCCATTAACATTATAGAACACATAGTTGTGGGGGTATTAAATCATGGATATTTTCATGGAAGAGTTCAACTCAAAATCCTGTTTAGAAAACTTAAGGGAAAGAATATCTTAGAGCAAGAGTTGACAAATATTTTATTTAAAAGAACAAACAAACAAACAGTAAATATTTTGGGAATTGTGGCCAAATACTTTCTGTTACAAAGGGTTAACCCTGATGTGGTGGCATGAAAAGAGCCATAGACAATATGTAAATATATGAGCATGCTTTATTTCAACAAAGCTTCATTAAAAAAAGCAAAACAAAACAAAACAAAAAACTAAAAGCTTGATTTGGCTCCTGAGCCAAAGCTTGAACCCCTGGTTTAGGACATAAGTCTTTTGGCTACAATAATATCACAAAATAAACCTAAATTTAAGAACAACCAAGTCATATCAAACGAAGTTTGCCTGTTAAAATTTTAATTCATGAAGAGAAATATAAAGATATATACTCTTATATAAATGAGTTTGTTTGTGTACATTTTTGCTGATTTTAATAGTATGGTTTGGAAAAGAAAGATGAAAACTGGATAATATGAATGCTTTATTGAATGGTCCGTATTTTATATGGTTAATAAAATATACCACTTTTATTCAATAAACTATTGATCCCTTAGAGATTGTACATTAATTCTTTGAATAATGAAGGTAACTAAGAGAAAGTAAGGTTTGTCATCTATGTAAAAATATCTTTTATTAAAGTTATACTAATTTTTTTTCTGATACTTAAAAGAGGAGGATGGCTCTCTTATTGCAAATTTTCTTAGGGAGAGTCTAGCTTAGTCTCATAACTGGTAAACTAAAAACTGTTCTGTTCTACAATAAAGAGATAAATCTCTTCCTAGCAGGTTTATTGTGAGGATTAAAGAGATAAGATATTTAGAAACTCTAATGCAATGTCTGTGTAAAGTTGGAAATCCCTCAAGATATTTTAGTTCTCTTTCTCCTTCCCCTTCTCATCAGGGAGAAATAGCCTGCAGACCAGAGAATAAGGAAAAGTTGTTTCCTGCCAAAGAACAAGCAGTATTGTGAAATATAAAATTTTATTGTTGCGGTGAAAGAAAATTTCAGTATCAAATTTTTGAAAACAGTAAGTAGACCCATATTTCCATTATATACCAACCTCACTTTATTTTTTATTTGATTTTGGCCTTATTTTTAGAAGAGTCCAAATCAAATAGTTTCAAATGCTTTATGGAAAATTCATCCATTGACAATGTTCATAGCATTTACATTTGGTTTTATAACCATAATTAAGTCCTAAATGTTTTGTAATTAGGATGATTCTAAAGCTAAAAACTCATTAACAAGAATGACAATATTTGAATATGTGAACAATTTTCACAACAGAGCCAAACAATCTGTTAAGGGATTCCTTGTTTTCAGATATTAAGATTCTACTACCCCTAAGCCACTACACTCTAAAACTTTCCCAGTTGTTCAAGTTGTTCTATAAAAGTTGGATTCACAAATTAAATAAATATTTCCAATAGAATTCCTTGCTCCCATATCCACCCAGGGCTTTGAAAAGCTTTATTTTTTTCTTGTTAAAGGACGGCTTATATACCTTTAATTAGAGCACCATTTTATCCCATTTATTTACTTATTATATATTTTTATTACTTTATTGCATTAGAAAAGTTCAAATTAAAACTACAATATAATATAGGTACACATCTAATAGGATGGCTGTAATAAAAAATTGACAGTATCAAGTTTTTGGTGGGGAAGTAGAGAAATTGGAACCCTCAGACATTGGTGGAGGGAATGTAAAATCATGTAGCCACTTTGGAACATAATTCAGTAGGCTTAAAACTTAGATGATGGGTTGATAGGTGCAGCAAACCACCATGACATATGTATACCTATGTAATAAACCTGCACCTTCTGCACATATATCCCAGAATGTAAAGTAAAATTTAAAAAAATACATTTGACAGATGACTCAGTAATTTCACTCCCAGATATTTGCCCAGAGAATTGAAAATTTGTGTGCACACACACACACACACACATACCTCCTTAAAATGTTTTAGTAGCTTTGCTCTTCATTAACAAAAGTGGAAAACAACCACAAGATTCTTCCACAGGTAAATAGATAAACTATGTTAAATATATAAAATGGAATACTATTCAGCAATAAAAAGGAACAGACTGCTACTGTTATGGTATATGTGCTATTTGGTACATATATTATGGTACACATTAACCTCAAAAATGTCAGGCTAAGTAGAAGAAGCCAGATATAAATTGTCTTGTATGGGATAAAATTTCAAGTTCTGGCTTCATGTCCTTGATGCTCCTAAGTCCTCAGAGGCCTAATGGTAAGTCTCCTGCTCTTGCTAGAAATGTCCCCATTCAAAGGGAAAGGGTCCCTATACAGCTAGTTCCTGTATCAGCCAGACCAACTACACTCCACCTGGTCCTCAACCTAACAGTTTCACTTCCCTTACAGCCAAAAAGTTAGTCAAACAAATTAGTCACACCTTCAATGGGAATCAGGGAACATCTTACCCACCTGTTACTAGAAAGCCTGCCTCCCAGAGCCCCTACTGATTTACTGTGCTCCAGAGTGCATCTCTGCATGGCCCAGTGTCCCCCTTCTCTAGTCTGTGAGTATATGTAACTAATAACCTGCAGTCTGTCTCATCTGTGCGGTATCAGGTGGTGTGTGTTCAGCTATTTTATACTATTTGAGGTGAGGGACCCCTCCTTCACCAACCAAATTAGTAGTGGAGGTGATCAGAACACAGATGATCCCAGTTGTTACCAGGGACTGGGAAATTGAAGGAAGCATTGATTGGTAACATGTACAAAGAAACTCTTTTGGTGACAGAAATGTTTTATAACAGGATTGTGTGATAGCTTACAACTCTATAAATTTACCAAATATTTAATTACAAACATTCTAAATGGTGTATCTTATGGAATGAAAATTTACCTCAATCAACTGTTATACAAAAAATAACTAAATAAAAGAGAGAAAAGGTACAAGAATAACTGGCAGAAAGTAAGCAGAAAAACTGAAGTATTTTTAGTTTCATGTAGTTAAAAATAAATTATATTTTACATATACATCTAAAATAAAACTTACTTTTCAACTTATTTATAACAATATATTTAACAATATTTATATTATAAAATAAAATATATACATAAATGTATATCTTATAAAATAAAATATATACATAAATGTATATCTTATAAAATAAAATATATACATAAATATATATCTTATAAAATAAAATATATGCATAATAGAATCTACTTTTAATTTATTGTATAAAACATTATATATACATATATAATTATATATATATTTTACATATATATATATATATATATATATATATATATATATATATATATATAGTTTTTGGTGAGGAAGTAGATAAATTGAAACCCTCAAGCACTGGCGGAGGGAATGTAAAATCATATAGACACTTTGGAACATAAGTTGGTAGATTCTTAACAAGTAAGATATAAACTTGACAAATGACCCAGTAATTTCACTCCCAGATATTTGCCAAGAGAATTGAGAACTTATGTGCACACGTGCACAGACACACACACACACACACACACACACACACACAGACATGCCTCCTTAAAAATGTTTTAGTAGCTTTGTTCTTTATCAACAAAAGCTGAAAACAACCAAAGTATGTGTGTGTGTATACACACTTTTTGTCTATGTTAGTCTAGATCGTCTGAGAAACATCACTGAGAGAAAACTAAGAGGGAACAGAAGGTCTGGGAGACCCATGAAAACCACGATGGCAATCTGATCCTTCGTGAAAGAGAGAGAAAAGACAAAAAGCAAGACAGGAAGAAGGATAGTTAGGTGGAAGTGTTTTAAGCTGCAGTACATTTCTAAGGACAGTTCAGCAAGTTCAATTAATTCTGACAGAGGAATCCCACATCTCCCAGGAAGGGGCATACCTTAGTATCCTAACCAAACTCAGTCATCAAATAGTAGCAGCGTGTGGAAAGAGAAATACAGCAATGGATTTTAGAGTGCAGCAGTCAAGACCCTCAGTCAATTATTCTCCCTTATATCAAAGAGGCACAGCCTCACTACTATCACAACGGTCCATTTCCATTTTAACTGAAGGAGAGCTTTCATTAACCTAGGAAGTCAGATTGGCTTTCCTACGCTGTTTTGAAATATGTCTGTCGGCCCAATGACATGATAACTTGAATGGAAAAGTTGACTAGGAACTCTGTGTACATGGCCTGGATTTGTTTCACTGGAAGGTTTTTAATTAGCATGAACAAATGAGATGTCACCTGAATAGGTGGAGCTATACTTGTTTGTGTTCTATCCACTACCTTTGTTGCCAAATTCCCTAGAAAAGTTTATAGAAGGAATAGATATTTTTTAAACCTGTATGAAAGAAGAAAGGAAATTATATGAAAGCTTTGTTCTCTAACTTTTTATGAATCAGACTTTCTTTACCACATATATTCTAAGGGGGTGATATTTAATTTGAGGCATATTTTAAATTATTTCACCAAATATCTTATCCAAGTAATAATTCAACTGCTATAATGCAAACAATTTGGAAGAATACTTTGTGTATAAAAGTCAGAAAATATTTTCTCATTCATTTAAATGTTAATGAATGCTTTCTTTTTAAAGATAATATTGTTCAAATTTACTATTGATACATGTTCAAACAAATATTCTGCAGAAATATAATTGAGATGTTTTTCTAAGAAAAACTACCATGATTAAACACTTCTGTAATTTTATTTGAAATATATATTTATATTTTTAGTCCAGATATATTTTTATAAGCATTTCATTAAAAATCTATATACTACTGTTAGGGAATTAACAATAATTGGAGTACATATACATTTTTCAGAGAATCGAAAAGAATTAAAAATATCATATTTTTAAATTGAAATATTTGATTATTATTTGTTTCAAAACACTATGTGCTATTTATTAACATGAATAAAGAGAAAATCAGGCAGTTAACTAGAGGTTATTATTCAAATTTAAAAAAAAGAATTTTATATGTTATCCAGGATTCAATTTAACTGGCGAAATGCGAACTTTAACTTAAAAACATATCACTGCATCTTCTGTCTCTCTCTTTCCATCTAAAGAGGAAGAAAAAGTTTATTTTATGAAAGAAAATCACTAGTTTCTTTTTATGGGAAAGTAAAAAGTTGTTTTGTTGTTAAGAATCTCAGCTCTGGATTTAAACTACTGCTTGGGTTGAAGCTTATCTCCTTCATGTGAACTCTTGAACTCTTGGGAAGTTTACCTAACCTATGTGAACCTCGTTTTCCAAAACTGTAAGTGAAGATTATAATGAAATCCCCAATATAGATTTGTTGAGGGGATTAAATAGAATATTTGTTAAGGAAGGATAGTTCTGATAACACTGCTAGAATTTAGAAAATATTAGCTTTCATTATTATTGTAACTCTTTTTGGTATAGTTTTTTAAAAACCAGAGTGCCTTTATATTGTATTATATGTTAATATAAAACTTATATATAAGTTACATGTGAATACAATAGTCAGACAAGCTAAATTAATAGGTTTAAAAATGAATAAAATCACTAGCAGAGCTGAATGATTTGAACAGTACACATATGCTATCCCTGATTCATTCCATTTATTGTAGAATTAGACCATTCTTTAGAATAGATAATATACTAGTAGACAAATAACATGAAGGCAGTCGGGTAGAGCATTCGTTAAGTTAATAACGATTTACCTCATTTTGTGTAGAAGCAGAATTCATAGGTGTTTTAATCTAATAAACTTTCACACTAGCTTCCATTATACTATTACAGATGTCAAATGTATTCCCACAGGAAAAAGTGTATTGACTCTAAGAAATCATAAAACTCATATGTCACATGGCTGCAAACCTTCTGAAATCATGTTTCAGAAGACTTCTAGGTACATAGATAGACTTCTAGGTACCATCTTTGCAGCAATTTCATGAAAATTGACAGTGAGGAAAAACTGCAGCTATTGGATAATTTTTCTTTGAACTTTGCTCTAAGAACACATTGCCTGAAGAGGCTTTTGTTTTCCCAGCAGGGCTTCAAGAACAAAGTCAATTAATTATATATTTTTATTTTTTAATCTATATATATTTATATTTTAAATATATATAAATAAATATATAAATGTATAATTATATATATATAAATTAATACATTTTTAAAATATAAATATATATTTAAACATATATTTAATACATTTTTAAAATTTATATATTTAAATATATTTATATGTTTTAAAATATATATATTTTCAAAATATAAATATATTTAAATATATAAATTTATATAGTTAATATGTATTTATTTTTCTTTATAATATATATTTAAGTACATAAATATATTAATATATTTAAATATATTAAATGTAAAAAATAATATAGATATATAATTATATAATATATGTATTCATTAAATATATATAAAATACATAATACTGACAATTTTCCATGAGAAATTTTACGTTGAAACATTTAACAATCTATTAGGTGATTATAGATGTGAGTAAATGATATTAATGACAACAATGCCAACAGGGGTGGGAGGGAGGAATTGGAAATAACCTGCTATAATGTCCCTACATTAGAAAGGAAACATTATAGTGTGATTTGATGGTGTATGTGGATTAGTTCAAAATGTATCTTTCAATCTCCAGAGCAACAATTAGAACAAATAAAAACATAAATTAAACTTACATAAGAGAGGGAATAAAACGGATTTATATAATGCTCAATTAAAACCACAGAACACAAAAGAGAGGAAATAAATAGTAAGTGTGGTAAACAGAAAGTAGTTATGGACATGTAAGATATCACAACTAAATCAATAACTGCCTTAGGTGTGGATGGTCAAATAAACCAAACTAAAGAGAATTTGAGAGTTAAAGAAAAACAGAATACTTCACTTTAGGTTGACTACAATAAACCATCTTTAAATATAAAGATTCTGGTTAAAAATAAAGGGATGGTGGCTTGTATGTGAATAATGCTTTTGTAAAAACAGAAAAATTATGAAGAAAAATATACCATGATAACCCTAATCAGAAATCTGAGGTGGCTATTTTAAACCAACACCAAGTACACGTTAGAACAAAGAAAATTATCAGGGAGTAAAGGCCAGTACACCACATCACATAATGATAACGGGATCAATTCTCAGATAGCTATATTTCTAGAACAAAGCATCAACATATATTTGGAAATGGCCAGAATTGCAAAGAGAAACATACAAACCAGTATCACAGCTACAAACTTCAACACCTCGCTTTCAGTAATTGTTTTTTTTATTTTTTATTTTTTATTTTAGATTCAAGGGTACATGTGCAGGTTTGTTATATAGGTAAATTGCGTGTCATGCGAGTTTGGTATACAGATAGTTTCATCACCCAGGTAATAAACATAGTACCTGATAGGTTGCTTACTGATCCTCTTCTCTCTTCCTGCCCTCCACTCTCCACATGTATCCATCTGTACTCAATGTTTAGCTAACACTTATAAGTGAGAGCATGTGGAAATAAGTTTCCTGTTCCTGCATTAGTTTCCTTAGGATAATGGCCTCTGGCACTGTCCATGTTGCTGCAAAGGACATGATCTCATTCTTTCTATGGTTGCATAGTATTCCTTGGTGTGCATGCACCACATTTTAAAAATCCATAGAGATAGAGTTGGCCTAAAAAGAAATATCAACAAAGTTTATCTAATTAACTTTTACATAATATTTTATTAAAAAATGGAATAATACACACTTTCTTCCAGATTACATGAAACATTCACTGAAATATACCAAATTCTGGCTTATAAAACGCACCTTAATAAATTAAAAGAATAGGAATCTTACAAAGTATATTTTTAAACACAATGAAATTTAACTAGAGATAAATAAAAGAAAGAAAGAAAATTCTCAAATATTTGAAGATTATACAACATACTTGTAAATAATATATGGATGGGAAAAAATGCCTCCAGGAAATTTTAAAAAATATTTTGAAGTAAATGAATATTAAAATACAACTTAGCAATATTGTGGTCACAGTAAAAGCAGTACTTTCAGGGATATGCCTAGACAAAGGAGAAAGATAAAGTATTAATAATATAAGCTTCCACCAAAGGAATCTAGAGAAAGGAAAACAATTTAAACCTAGGAAAATGGATACACAAACTGTGGTATGTTCCTACAATGAACTGTTATTTAATGATGAAAAAAATGAGCTCCTAGGCCATAAAAAATGTGGAGATACCCTAATTGCATATTACTAAGTGAAATAAATCAATTTGAAAAGGCTACAAATTGTATGGTTTCAATTGTGTGATAGTTTGGAAAAGTCAAAACTATAGGGACAGTAGTGAATTAGTCATTGCCAGGGGTTCAGGGAGAAACAGGGATGAGTAAGTGGAACTCAGGGTAGTTTTAGGGCAATAAAAGTATTTTGTATGGTATTGTAATAGTGGATACATGTTATTATATATTTGTTAAAATCTATAGAATATACAATACAAGAAGTGAACTCTAATGTAAACTATCAAATTTAGTTAATAAAAGGCACCAGCATTGACTCATCAGTCGGAACAAATGTATTGCACTAATGCAAGATACTAATAGGGGAAACTGTTGGGTGGCAGACGGGAATTCTATGTGTTTTCTGCTCAATTTTTCTACAAACCTACAACTACTCTGAAAATGAAGTCTTTTTTTTAAGTAAAGGAATAGAGAATTTCTGAATCAAGCAGTGTAAAAGGACATGGAAAAACTATGTCCTTATGCTTAAGAGCACATATCATATACATAAACACCTCAGATGGCTAAAATAGTGAGCCAGTTCTTACAAAAAAGGCCAAAATTTAACTCCTTAGATTGTTAAGAATAAAGAAGAACTTGGCATAGATCCAAGATTTTTGATCAGCCAAAAAAAGTGCTCAATTATTATGACTATCGAGTATTAAAATTAAGTCGAACAAAATTTCAGGTTCATGTTGAATAATAGAGTGATCCTCCTTAGTATCTATTTTGTCATGTAATTTGTTGCTCAAAATATCAAAAAGATAATTTTATGAGTTGAGATAATTATGAAGAACTTGTATTGGATATGATAAATATTTGTAATATGAATTTATATCTATCATTAATATCATTATGCTGCAAATCTCACTTTTGGAAATGTTATCCCATTATGGAAAATTGTCCTTAGAAAAACAAAAGTATAATGTACTGAGCTAGATTTTCTAGAAAAACATATGCAAAACTTTAAAGTGTCCTGAACTTAAGTTAACGTGGTTATTGATTTTAATGGCTGGGCTTTGTTAGAAGCCAGAAAGCCCAAGATTGATATTACACAAGGTGATATAACACTCATGATTGCCTTTGGTTAACTAATGTATAGCATTTCAGAGTAAACTATTGAAGGTTGTTGGTGATTGGAAATATGGAGATTAAATTGGGTGCAATATATTCAAATGGAGAAAAAATATACCTTAATTTAAAAAGCAAATAATATTCTAATCCTGTGTTTAGGAACACAGGATAGAATGATAAACTTGTCTAAATTTGCAATAAAATATTAATGAGAATAGTTCATGATTTTTTGAGCCAAAGAATGTATGCTTTTATTAATTTGTATTTCTTAGGTCCTTAATGAAGATTTTAGATATAAACCCAACTCCCTGAGTTTTCAAACATAAAACTTGCATTCAAAACTAATTCATAAATAAAGGCCCTAGCTCTCTGAACCAAATAACTTGTAAGGTAGTTGAACAAGTCTAACAAAAATGATGTGCCAAAATGCAACTTTACTTTTATTTCATTCTGTCATTTTAAAATGTGTGGAGTGGTGGAGGCTCCCCTACCTTGATAAAAACTTGAAAATAATACATCAGTTTCCTTAGTTCACATTTAGGTATTAGGCAGAACTATGATTAATTTCAGAATTGCAACTTCAATTCAAAAATCAGTTTCTCAAAATGCAACTCTCTCTCTCTCTCTCTCTCTCTCTCTCTCTCTCTCTCTCTCTCTATATATATATATATATATATATATATATATACACACACACACTTGTTTCTTTGGTAAAATCTCTGTCCCAAGCTGGAGCATACTGCAATCTGGCTGCTTGCTATGAAGAGGCATTTTCCTTTAGCATTCTGTTTCCCACTTAGCATTTCTCCTTTCTTGAGTTGACGATCTAAGTTGCCGAAGCTTTCTGGGATGGCCCACGATGAGTGATGACAAGAGGAAGAACATAATCTTATTCATGGAATGCATTTGTATGGTGGTTTGCAGATGCACTGACTTTCTCATGTAGATGCCTTCTACTAGGACCCTCCAGGTGAAAATCCTGTGGTCTTGGTCATGCTACTCTGATATGGTTTAGATTTGTGTCCCCACCCAAATCTCATGTTGAATTGTAATCCACAGTGTTGAAGAATGGTCCTGTTTGGAGGTAATTGAATCATGGGGGCAGATTTCCTCCTTGCTGTTCTCTTGATAGTGAGTTCTCACAAGATTTCATTGTTTAAAAGTGTGTGGCACCTCCCCATTCACTCTCTTCCTCCTTCCCCAGCCATGTAAGAGATGCCTGCTTTCCCTTCACCTTCCGGCATGATTGTAAGTTTCCTGAGGCCTCTCCAGACATGCTTCCTGTACAGCCTGTAGAACTGTGAGTCATTTAAACCTATTTTCTTTATAAACTACCCAATCTCAGGTAGTTCTTTATAGCAATGAGAGAACAGACTAATACATACTTTCTTCTCTGTTCCAGATTCTGACACCTCCACTTCACACAAAACACTCCACTTTAGAGTTCCTTGGCCCCTTAAAGTAAGTTTTACAAGTCAAACCTTGAACCAGCATGAAAATAGCTTTATCTCATGTGTGGTCCACACTAGGTCCTTGGTAAATATTCAGTCTCATCTCATTTTCCTACAGTTCCGAGTATAGCTACTTTCTAGATACAGCAACACCCTATCTTAGCTTTTCCTTCCACCTTATCTTAGCTTTTCCTTCCAGGCAACTTGACAGAATATCTCTCTTGCCCTCCTCATTCCTTGAGATGGAAGTCAGACCCAGGTCACTGCATTCCCCTAGATACAAGGAATCTATATCAAATTATCTCAGTGTACCAACAAGGCTTGAGTAGAGGGTTAGATACTTCCCACCTTGTACCCCTAGGGTTAAAGAAGTAGAACTTAAATCACAACTTTGCCCTTAAAATACATTGTAAAAATTTCTCTCTTTTCACAAGCTTATGACTCCTTGCTGTTCTGGATATGAATGAAAGACTGAAAAGTTGTGAAAACAGTCACTATTTATGTGTAACTTTTTTTCACTTTGGAATTTTAGTTTGTTTTATCATGATGCTTCAGATAAAACTCTCATTTTATTGCTTTATCTATACATTTTACTTCCTTGTCCCAGGCCTATCTTAAATTCAATATCTCATTTAGGTCTCATAATAATTCCATGGTGAATATTCTCACAAATCCAAGGTGAATATTTCCTAATTATTTCCATTTTATAACTGAAGAAATTGAGGAGTAGACAGATCAATTCACTTGCCTAAAGCCAAAGGTAGTAAGTGGTGCAGAGATTAAGATCAACATTGTTTGCACCTTTCATGAGTATGTGCTCTAATCCACTGCTCTATGCTATATACTGCTATCATATAAACCAAAGAACGTGTGGAACTCCATGGCTGAAATTACGACTAGTCACAACAAGTTTTTCTTTGTTTTATGGAAGAAGCACAGGTGCACAAAAGTTCTGAACTAGGACAAGAAAAATCTGTTAACTGACTTCTATATTCTAAAAGTCAGACTGCTATCATATAAAATTAGTTAAATGCATTGCATAAATGATTATTCATTCTCCCAGAAACATATTTATATTAATTTGAATGCAAATTTTAATATTCTACTTATTTTTATTTGCACTGTACAGTTTCCCGAAAGCCTTGGTATTACAGAGATTTTGGCTTTTAGGATTTCACATGTGAATTCTGAGAGTTTGCTATGAAATATCGTAGTGGAAAAAGGGAGGAAATAGGTAACAACTCTAGAAAATTCTTTATAAAAATCCAGGTAAGTTTAAGACTGAAATGATAATTCAATAAATCTGTATTTCCATTGAAAGCAATAACCACATTCCTGAGGTCATTACCGACCCAATTTGTTTACAAGAAGCAGTAGGTAAGAGCCATACATAGATCATATGCAAAATTTTAAGTCATGGTTATAGTATGTTATTGAAGGGCCAAACACAGAAAATTATGTATATTTCTATAAAATATATTTTTATGGGATTCTTATCAGTATGCATTCAATAACATGATAGAAAGAAATAAGGTAATGCATTATTTATTAATAGAGTTAATCATAACTTTGTTCTTAATGACATCTTTATAAGAATGTAAATTGTTTTCTTCTCTTTAGCATCAGGTGTAGTCTTTTGTCTTAAAATTTGTATATCTTTTATATATATTTAAGCTATTGAATAGAAATACTTTGGCATGTGATCAAAATTTTAAAATTTTTACTTTATACCTTGCAAGTAGCTGAGGTTAATGTTGTATTCTTTCAGGATGTATTTTATAGTTTCCTTCATTTGTGACCCGTATTCTATGTTTTGCTTTGTCTCGCCTCTTTTCTTGTGCACATATTTCTAATGTAAGATACTCTACCATCTATCTATCTATGGTTTGGCTCTTTGTGCCCACCCAAATCTCACCTTGAATTGTAATCCTCATAAACCCCATGTGTCAAGGGCTGCCTATCTATGGTTTGGCTCTTTCTATCTGTGGTTTGGCTCTTTGTGCCCACCCAAATCTCACCTTAAATTGTAATCCTTATAAACCCCATGTGTCAAAGGCAGAGTCAAGTGTAGGTAATTGGATCATGGGGGCAGTTTCCCCCATGCTGTTCTATAATAGTGAGTTCCAGCAAGATATGATGGTTTTATAGTCATGTGGCATTTCCCCTGCCTGCACTGAATTCATCCTGCCATCTTTGATGAAGGTGCCTGCTTCTTCTTTGACTTCCACCATGATTGTAAGTTTCCTGAGGCCTCCTCAGCATTGTGAAACTGTCAGTCAGTTAAACCTCTTTCTTTTATAAATTACCCCAACTCAGGTACTCATGTATTTCTTCATACCAGTGTGAGAATGGACTAATAGAGTAAATTGGTACTGAGGTAGTGAGGGGCTGCAATAAAAATAACCAAAATGTGGAATTGACTTTGCAACTAGGTAATGGGCAGAGATTGAAACAGTTCAGAGAGCTCAAAAGAAGATAGAAAGATGTGTGAAAGTTCAGAACTTCCTAGAGACTTGTTGAATGGCTTTAACCAAAAGGCTGACAGTGATATGGACAATGCAGTCCAGGCTGAGGTGGTCTCAGATGGAGATGAGGAACTTATTGGGAACTGGAGCAAAGGTGACTCTTGCTGTGCTTTACCAAAGAAACTGGCAGCATTTTGCCCTGCTCTAGATATCCGTGGAAGTTTGAACTTGAGAGAGATGAGGAGGAGGAAATTTCTAAGTGATGAAATGTTCAAGAGGATGCAGGGCATAAAAGTTTGGAAAATTTGCAGCCTGATGATGCTATAGAAAACAAAACCGCATTTTCTGGAGAGAAATTCAAGCCTGCTGCAGAAAGTTGCATAAGTAACAAGGAGCCCAATGTTAATTGCCAAGACAGTGGGGAAAATGTCTCCAGGGTATGTCAGAGATCTTTGAGGAAGCCCCTATCATCACAGGCTCAGAGGCCTAGGAGAAAATAATGATTTCTTGGTCCAGGCCCAGGGCTTTGCTGCTTTGTGCAGTCAGGACTTGGTGCCCTGCATCCCAGCTCAGGCCATTGCTTGAGAGGGTGCAACCTCCAAGCCTTGGCAGCTTACATGTGGTGTTCAGCCGGTGGGTACACAGAAGTCTAGAATGGAGGTTTGGGAACCTCTGCCTAGATTTCAGAGGATTTATGGAAACATCTGGATATCTGGGCAGAAGTTTGCTATAGGGGTGGAGGCCTCATGGAGAAACTCTACTAGGGTAGTGTGGAAGGGAAATGTGTGGTTGGAGTCCCCCCACAGATTCCCTATTGGTTCACCACCTAGTGGAGCTGTGAGAAGATGGCCACCATTCTCCAGACCCCAGAATGGTAGCTCTGCCAACAGCTTGCACTGAGCCTGGAAAAGCTCCAGACATTCAATGCCAGCCTGTGAAAGCAGCCAGGAGTGTGGTTGCACCCTGCAGAGCCACAGGGACAGGGCTGCCCAAGGCCTTGGATGGTGACCTCTTGCATCAACTTAATGTAGATATGACTCATGGAGTCAAAGGAGATCATTTTGCAACTTTAAGGTTTAATGACTGCCCTTCTGGATTTTGTACGTGCATGGGGCCTCTAGCACCTTCGTTGTGGCAAATTTCTTCCATTTGTAATTGGAGTATTTATCCAATGCCCATACTCCCATTGTATCTAGGAAGTAACTAACTTGTTTTTGAGTTTACAGGCTCAAAGATAGATAGGACTTGCCTTGTCTCAGATGAAACTTTGGACTGTGGACTTCTGAGTTAATGCTGAAATGAGTTAAGCCCATTTAAGACTTTGGGGGACTGTTGAGAAGGCATGATTGGGTTTGAGATATAAAAAGCCATTAGATTTTTGAGGGATCAGGGGCAGAATAATATAGCTTGGCTCTGTATTCCCACCCAAATCTCACCTCAAATTGAAATCCCTGTAATCTCTATGTGTCAAAGATGGGAGCAGGTGGAGGTAAGTGGATCATGGGGGCAGTTTCCCCTATGCTGTTCTCACCATAAGGAGTGAGTTCTCACAAAATCTGATGGTTTTATAAGTATCTGTCATTTCCCCTGCTTGCACTCTCTCCGTCTTGCCACCATGTGAAGGAAGTGCCTGCTTCTCCTTTGCCTTCCACCATGATGTTAAGTTTCCTGAAGCCTCCCCACCAAAGCAGAACTGTGAGTACACTTCTTTTCTTTATTAATTACCCCATCTCAGGCACTCAGATATTTCCTCATAGCAGGGTGAGAATGGACTCATACATACATACATACATATGTATATGTATATGTATATACACACACGTGGAGACAGAGGGAATTCAAGTTTATACTCTAACAAGTGTGTATGTGTGTATTCAGTGAGGTAATCTATTTGATTATGGGTGGTTTGGAAAAACTAATTTACAATTATAAAATATGGCTTGAGAGCAGGTTTTACTAGTTGCAGTTACTCCAGTTGATGGTCCAACTCAGAAGCAAATAAACCACCTCAGGAAAGAGTCAGAAGAAGCATCAGTTCTATAGTTGGTCACTTGGGTAGTATACCTTTCACAGCACAATGGAGAGAAGTAAGCAGAAAGTTATTTAGGGGTTACTACAAACATATTACAATATTTAACAACACATCGACAAAATATTTTTAATTATTGATCTTTGATTCCTTTGTTATGTATCTCACATAGACATAAATTATATATTTAGAAAGAAGTATTTAATCATATTTCAAATAAAATATATCAAGGAACTAGTAACATAGGATATTAAAGAACTAAAGACAAATTGCATTTTGCAATTCAGAGTGGACTCTTCCCTAAAGTTATTTAACCTTAAGAAAAGAAATGCATATAAGGACACATACCCTATTAAAGAATGTTTCTTGAATCCGTGTTATTTTTTAGCTATATCATTAAAATATGTTTAACAATTAGATAAATAAAGGTTTCTTTCAGAGTCTAAACTGTTCTTATTATGGAGATTACAAAGTGGCTTGTAAAGATGAGCACCATTAGTGTAATCTGTAGAGGAGGATGGATGAATAGATTCATCTATAGTATTTTCCAAAGGACATAGTAAAATAATAAATGACAAGTAATGATCCTTTCCATTCCCATGATTATGTAAATGCTCGCCGGGAGGACATTTATTATCAATTCTGTCATTGAAATCACCCTTCCTTCTGTTGACTAGGGCTGAATGCTTTTGAACATCTGATTACTAAGCACTCCATAAGATGAAGCATATGATGCTATTGTCAGCACTACATAAGAAATGTCACTGTGAAATTCCTTTGTTGTGAGCAATATTTTAAAGCAAATAGTCAGACACCTCCGTTAGGTGTGCTGAGCTTCTCCAGCATCATAAGTAGAAATGGCTCTTGCAACAAACCCAAATCACATTATTGTTTTTTGAATCATGTTAATGGTTAGTTAAAGCATTACTCAGCATGAAGTTATTTCATTCAATGTTACAAATGGGTTTATAGAAACATTTGTGTCATATACACATAGAAAATACCCAGAAATCTATTTCCTTTTCAACAGCACTGTATAATCTTAGGTGGCATGATGGTGGATTGTGTAATCATATTCTTTCTTGGAATTGGTTATCTGTGTTTCCAAATAGCCAAAGAATATATATGTATTATAACATGAGAATCTATATGTATTAGATCTAATAAATTTATATAACTTTATAAATACCAACTCTATACTAATTAATTTCCTGATTTTGCATAGAATACTATTCAATATCAAATAATTGAGTGAATATTATTATAAAACATTTTTCTCAGTATTTAAAACACATAAGCAAAAATAGAAATGGCTCTAGCATCTGAAACACTTTTACTATATTTAGTCAACTGGTTTAATTATGCATTGACTCTGTGCAAACACCATAGAAGAATATAAAAAAAAATGAACAAAAAGTTGAGACTATGTGCATTCATTTCAATGGCCTTATAAATTTTAGTGATAGAAGCTAATTTGTAAGTAATTTAGAAAGCAGCTCTGAAAAGAATAGGTAAAAAGGAATGAATGAGAGTGTAGCATGGAATTATATTCAGGAATAGAGATAGAATTGGAGGAAGATGGCTGTAGGTTTCATGAGTCAACGTGTCTTCTGCTTAGCCTGGTTAATATATTGTGAATCATTTCAGCAATTACTCTGCTCAAAAGCATAATAGTAATTAATGCAAAAACTTGCATAATGTTTATTACATGCCTGACACTTTTCTAAGATTTTTGCAAATATCAACTTGTTTAACACATCCCCTGCCAAAGGAAAAAAAAAAACTTTTAGGTAGATATTATTGTTTCCATTTGAAAGATGAGACAGCCTGCTCAAAGTCACACAGCTGCTGTGTAGGGGGATATGGATATAAAACAAGGTAACTTGGCTTCCAGACCCTGTACTTTTAAGCAGTATTGTAATGCCACTTTCTTCATTGAGACCATCTTAAAAATAATCACCAAAATAATGTTTGTTCAAGTCATAGCCACACAAATAGTCTGTTTAATTAAAAATTATCAGCCCAATAATGTGTGAAAGTTGTTTTCAGTAATTCATGTCTAAGCAGCTGATTTTTCAGGTTGTGCTGAATCCTGATCAGTAATAAGTAATGAACATATTTATGTTCATTTCTAATTACTATTAAATATATTTTGTCAAAAGTTATACCATCTCCATTTTCTCTGTCTTGAACTTTTAAACTTTATTTACTAATTAATAAAGCAAATATATATTGAGGACCTATATATAAGGCACCAAGAGAGAAAGATTAAATATGTTTAGTTGCCACAGCCCAGAAGATCACAATCTTGTGATAGTTAGTGTCTTCATTATGTCTTCTTATTCTGCTTTTAAAACAACTTTCTAGAAAGAAATGGAAATAAATTGAACTGAGTAATTCTGACATTTTAAGTGTTGATTTATTACAGCATTATTTGCCTTCTAATAGAGATCAGATTTGTAGATTTATGGCATAATTTTAGAAATCATCCAGAATAGGAAAGCATAATTATAATTATAAAGTTTCCAAAGAACTTTAAAAATTTGCCACAAAGAGTGGTTCCTGATCTGTAAGTAAAGAAAGCCTAGATAATTGTGGTGGTTGTTAGGTGACAGGTGAATAAATTTGGCTTGATCGATACATGTTTTGATTTTTTTAATTCCCTTTATCCTCAGTCACTAAGACTACATCCTGACATTCCTTAGCCCACATTCCTTATTACACAATCAAGCTTGTGTAATAAGCTAGCAAAAATATATTTATGCATTATACCTCTATTTCCAGTTTTTGTCAACATACTTAAAATCAATACATATTGATATACATAGTTTTAATTCATGTATCTTACTTCTTTTAGGAGATGTCATTCATTTTCATACATTTAAACTATCTAATGTTATAGTTGTTTGCTTATACTATTTGCTATTATAGGTAATATTGCAATTAACATCCTTATATATGTTACTTTTGAATATATGTGTGTGTCTGTGTGTGTATACCATAAATAAATACATTAATTGATTAGTTAGGTTACATATCCATGAGCAGAATTGCCATATAATTGAGAATTACAAAATCACTTCATAGGATGGGCGAATCATTTATCATACTACCAGGATGGAATAAAGGAGTCTTTTTCCCTATACCATTGCCAGCACTTGATATCTTGATATTATTCATATTTAAAATAAATACATTTTCCATTTGGCAGATTATACAGTACTATATCTGCATTTAAAATGAAAATATTGTCAAGTTTGTAGAATATAGAGTAGTCTCTCCCTCTCTCTCTCTGTCCCAACTTCTTTTTTCTCTTTCTCTTTAATTAGCATTCTCATCTTTACTAATTAGTTTGACTAACCTTTTCTATACTTAATTGTCTAATATTATTTTTTATTCATGCTTCTATTGGACTTTCTCATCTATAGTTCCTCACTTTCATTAGTCCCCTGTGTCTGGAGTACATGCTATAAATATTTTACTCATATATCAACCACCTGTTAAATTGCAATATAAAAAATGTTATATTCATTGAAGTGTGAGTTCTTGACATGATACTCCATTCCTCCAAAATATTTTTGTGTGCAATTCCTATAAATTAGAGGCATTTTCCCGTATTACAAAAAACCTTGTTAAAAAATAAAAAATTTAAAATTGACACATTATTGCCATTGTTCCGCAGACTCCACTCAAATTTCCCCAACTTATTCGAGTTCCTAATATTATTAAGACTGATGTCTCATCTTTAGTGTGCATGTCTCTTCAGATTTGAACTAAAACGCACCTGAAATTACCTTATAAAGAGGAACTTATTATAATAAAATTAAAGTGTTACATGGAATACCAAGGCTAAAATATATGCCAGGTAAAAGAATGTAAGCTCCATAAGTACAAAGACTTTGTTGGTTTTGTTCACTGCCAAATTCCTGTCCTTTATTACAGTGACTTTTAAATAACAAGCATGAACTAAATATTTTATTCATGAATGAATGAATAATGAAATACGTGAGAAGGAGTCTTATGTAATGCTTTTTTTGTGCCTACTTCAATCATCTCTGTTCCTATTAACCAATTGTTCTGCCAAGAGTGGTAACTGTTAACTAGTCCTCAACTTTAGGCTCCTTGAGATCATCTGATTTCACTTTCACACTTATAGTTTCAAAAATTGTAGGAAAGTATAATTGGCTTAGTTGGGATTAGGATTCCTAATTAGGACTCCCACTGTACCCATCAGTGATGAAAAGGAGACAGGGTCCTACAGTGTTATTATAATGGCACTCTAAAGGAGGCCTTGAGGATAGAGCATTTGAAAAATAGTGTCCCAAATAAAGGTATTATTTTCAATACAAAAATGAAACAGAAATTATTTAAATGTATTTTTATCTAATTTAAAGAATAAAATATTTATTTTGTTTTCTTTGAGTTTTTTAGATTAAAAAATAATTTAGGTATCTTTTCTTAATCTCTGAGCATGATGTTGCTATGTTGATCACTTTTCATTCATCATAAATATTTAACAGTTCAGCCCTGTGTAAACTGTTCATTTTATATTGTCAAAATATACTTTGATAATTTTCTACTTACCTACATCTTTGGCTAATCCCTTTCCATTTATTTGAGGGAAAATACTGTTCCTTTTTCCTCTTGTTTTATTGTGTTCTTTCATCACTATGACAAGCACTGCCAAATTCCCAAGAGGGAATTTCTCATGAGGCTAGTCTTTTGGACTCCAAACTGAGGCTAGTCTTTTGGACTGCAAATTCACATATTTGATTGCCTTCTTCTTTTAGATCTACTAGCCACCATAAACAAGACAAAACCTAAGTTCTTTATTGGATTTCCCCCTCACCACTCCAAATCTTCTTCCCTCCTATATATGCTAACTTGTCAGTGAATGGCACCTCCATCTACTATTGTACTCAAGCAACATAAAACTCATACCTGACATTCTCCTTTTCTTCAACCACCCCAAATAAATTCATTATTAGATTATTTGATTCTGCTATTAAAATAAATTAGGAATCTGACATCTTTCTTAATATTCAAGGCAATAGCTTAGGTAAGTGGTCTTCCTCAATCAAATTCACAATTGCAATAATTATCCTAGGTAGGATACCTGAACCACATTTTGTCTCTTTTAAACTGATATACTACCATCAATTCAGGTTTTCTTCACATTTGTACAGCTTTATTGAGTTATAATCAACATGATATTAGTTACACATATTTAAAGTGTGCAATTTGATGAGTTTTGACGTGTATACAACTGTTAATTCATCATCACAATCAAAATAGTAATATCCACATTAATCCACATTTTAAATAAATAATTTAGTACTTCTTTACACAGTGTGTAATGTTTCATTCCAAAAGTCATAATAATTCTAAGTGTTCAACTTCATAATTTGTCCTAAACAAATCCTTAGTACTTTTTACGAGAGTTAGAAAAATTACAGGCATGATATTTTCATCTTTCAGGACATTTACATATTTACTTTCAAAATAATTTGTAATCTTTTAAGGGCAGATTTAGAAAATTTTTGTTTGTTTGTTGGTATGTTTATTTGTGTTGTGTATGTGTGTGTGTGAGTGTGAGTGTGTGGTAGAACATCTAGGCAAATAATTCTTAGTTTTCTGTTTTGAATAAACAAATAACCCAATAAATTTATTTAGTTATTCTCATATTTAAGGATTAAAAAAGTATTATATCACACTTTTAATGTATAATTTCAACTTCTTTTGTCAAAACATGAGAATAATTTTACTCCCAAAATTATTACAAAATGTGACAGAAGCAAAACCTTCTTCTTCTATCTAAATCTAAAAACATTCCAACTTTCTTGGAATTTTGCCCAACTTTCTTCTGCTACTTTCTATTTTCCCCCTTTCTCTATGTGACTGTTAATTTTAAAGCCTTTAAAACATCTATATAATAATTCAATTCACGTAATATTTAGGCTGAAATAATATTGAAATATTACATATAAAGTTTTGATCTATCTTTCTTTCTCATTTGCTTTCCATAGCCATTTGCTGGATCAGAAACAGACAAATGTCATACATTATTCTTTACATTTCACAAACAGTAAGCTATCTCTCTAATAATATGAAAGGTTGTAATGAGATTATAATAATTCACTAATTGATATAAGAGAAATTGATAATGTTACATGATTTTCCTATACTTTTCAAGATGAGTAGAAAGCAGCTTTCTCTCTTCATATTAAAATATCATTTTAATATTAATTATAAAATAAAGTCAGTCATTTAATTGATAATTTAATTTTAATGCTATGAATATTGCATTTGCCTAGTTTGGCTTTTTAAATTTAAAACTTGGGTCATTTATCTAATTAAAGATTGGCACTAATTCCAATGGCAATTTCCCATGAGAACATGAGATTCTTGATAATGAGTCCTGAAAGGGTTGTTATTTCCAGCTAAGACACAACTGTCTTTTTTATGCTCTTACTGTAAATGCACCTTTCAGACTGTTAGGGAGCAAAATAGATTAAGAAGCAAACTGCAGCTTTAACTTCTGTTAAAATTACCCTTTGTCACTCTATCCCTTGGTTTTTATCTGAATATGTTAAAAAATTATACCATTAGTATGTGCAAGTATCACGCAAGAGTGGTTTCAAGAACAACTGTTTTCTGAAGATTCCAGGAAGAGTTAGTATAAGTCCAAATGAAAATTCTGTGCAATGGTAAGTAATAAAATGACAATAGCTGCCTGTAGACTAGGTCCTCAGTAAGATAATGGTGTTCATTAAATTCTACAGAGCATCAGATTACGATATAGAGGCTATTTCCTAAATAATCCTTATAACTCCTAATGACACATATATATGACACATATATGTGTGACACATATATATGACACATATATGACAGACACATATATATGACACATATATATGTGTGTGTGAACTTCAATGAGGCTTGTGCTGAATGTGACTCAAAAAGTGGAAAAAATAACAAATATTGTTTGCTTTTCATGTTCCTTTTTTATTTCTATGTGTTCGTATAGTTTCCAAAAATTTCTCTCATCATTGATTCATAGTTTTATTCCATTGTGTTCGGAGAAGGTACCTTATATTATTTCAAATGTTTAAATATTTCAAGGCTTGTTTTGTGGCCTAACATATGGTCTATTTTTGAGAATGATCAATTTCTTGAAGAGATGAATGTCTATTCACAGCCATTGGATGAAATGTTCTCTTAATATCTGTTTAGGTCCAATTGGTGTACAGTGCAGATTAAGTCTGATATTTGTTGATTTTCTGTCTGGATAATCTATCCAATGCTGAAAGTGGGGTGTTGAAGTCTCCAGCTATTATTGTATTGGAATCTATCTCTCCCTTTAGCTCTAATAATATTTGATTTATATATAACTGGGTGATCCAATGTTGGGTGCACATATATTTAAAATTGTTATATCCTCCTGCCCTGTTGACCCCCTTATAATTACATAATGACCTTCTTTGTCTCTTTTTATAGCTTTTGTCTTGATATCTATTTTGACTAATATGAAGTGCAGTTACTCCTGCTCTTTTTTGGTTTCTGGTTGCATAGAATATCTTTTTCCATCCCTTTATTTTAAGTCAATGTGTATCATTGTAGGTGAAGTGTGTTTCTTGCAAGTAACAGATCATTGGGTCTTGTGTTTTTCATCCATTCAGGCTCTCTATGTCTGTTGACTGGAGACTTTAGCCCAATTACATACAATGTTATTATTGATAAGTTAAGACTTACTGCCACCATTTTGTGATTTGTTTTCTGGCTGTTCTGTGGTCTTTCCTCTCTCCATCCCTTCCCCCATTTCCCCCTTACCTCTTTCTCTTCCCTCTTTACCTCCCTTCTTTCTTGTCTTTGTTTTAGGGAATGGGATTTTCTCATGTGGTATGTTTTAATTTCTTACTTTTTTGTATATCTTTGTGTTTTTAGATTTGAGGTTATTGTAAGCCTTGCCAATAATTTCTTATAGCCCCTTATTTTAAATGGACAGCAACTTAATGATTGCATAAACAAACAAGTACAAAGAAAACTAATTAAAACTCTGCACTTTAACTTTGTCATTTCACTTTTTAACTTTGTTGTTTCTATTTATGTCTTACTGTAATTGTCAATGTCTTGAAGAGTTGTCATAGTTATTATTTTTGATTGGGTCATCTTTTTATCTTACTACTTAAATTATGAAGAGTTTGCAAACAATAAATACAGTGTTATAATGTCTTGTGTTTTTATGTATACTTACTATTACAAAATAGTTTTGTACCTTAAGATAATTTCTTCTTGCTCATTAACATCCTTTTCTTTTAGATCAAAGAGTTCACTGTAGCATTCTTGTATGACCGGTCTGGTGTTAATGAAATCCCTCAGCTTTTGTTTGTCTGGGAAAGGCTATATTTCTCCTCCATGATTGAAGGATATTTTCACCAGATATACTATTTTAGGGTAAATGCCTTTTTTTCCTTCAGAACTTTAAATATGTCATAACACTCTCCCTTGGCCTGTTAGGTTTCCACTGAAACAATCTGCTGCCAGGTGTATTGGAGATAAATTGTATTTGTTTCTTTTCTCTTGCTCCTTTTAGGATCCTTTCTTATTCTTGATGTCGGGGAGATGAATTATTAAATGATCTTAGGTAGCCTTCTTTGGCTTAAATCTCCTTGATGTTCTATAACTTTCTTGTACTTGGATATTAATATCTTTCTCTAGGTTTAGGAAGTTCTATCTTGTTATTCTTGTGAATAAAATTTCTACCCCTATCTCTCTCTCTCTACTTCCTCTTTAAAGCCAATGACTCTTAGATTTGCTCTTTTGAAGCTATTTTCTATATACTGAGGTTGTGCTTCATTGTTTTTTATTCTTTTTTCTTTTGTCTCTTTTGACTGTATTTTCAAATAGCTTGGCTTCAAGTTCAATAATTTTTTCTGCTGCTTAATAAGTTCTGCTGTTAAGACTCTGACACATTCTTCAGTATGTCAATTGCATTTTCCAACTCCAGATTTTCTGCTTGATTCTATATAATTATTTCAATCTCTTTGTTAAATTTATCTGATAGGATACTGAATTTCTTATCTGTGTTACATTGAATTTTGTAGAGTTTATTCAAAACAGCTATTTTGGATTCTGTCTGAAAGATCACATATCTCTGTCCTTCTGTGATTGGTCCTTGGTGCTTTATTTATTTCATTTGGTGAAGTCATGCTTTCCTTGATTGTCTCAATGAATGTGGATGTTTATCAGTTTGTGAACATTGAAGAGTTCAGTATTTTTCAGTCTTTGCGGTCTGAACTTCTTTGTACCTGTCCTTCCTGAGAAGGCTTTTCAGACATTCAAAGGGACTTGAGTATTGTAAATTTTTGGTCACTGCATCCATTTCTGCCTTAGGGACCACCACAAGCCCAGTAACACTGTGGTTCTTGCAGAGTTTTCCTTAGTGGTCTTGGATAAGACCCAGAAGGATGTGCTGGATAAACAGGTAGAGATCCTTGTTCTCTTCCCTTAATTTCCCCCAAACAAACAGAGTCTGCCTCTCTGTGCTGAGCTGTCTGGAGCTGGTGGAGAACTGACACAAGCATCCTGCTGCTTTGACTGTGCTGGGTCAGAACTGAAGCCAGCACAGCACTGGGCCTCAACTCAGGCCCACAGTCACAACAACCTGGCTACTGGCTATGATCACTCAAGGTCCTAGGGCTTTACAATGAGCAAGTGATAAAACTAGCCAGGCTGGTGTCCTTCCCTTCAGGGCAGTGAGTTTCTCTGGGCCCCTGGCCATCCAGAGATATCATCTGGGAGTCAGGGTCTGGAGTTGGAAACTTTAGGAATCTACCTAATGATGTAGTTGAATTCACACTCAAACCACAAGACAACATCCTTCCCATTCTTCCCTTCCCTTTCCCTAGACAGAGGAGACATTCCTCATGTCTACAACTACCACAAGCCCATGGGGAGTACTGCCAGGCTATCACCAGTGTTCACTTATGTCCCAAGGGTTCTTTAATCAGCTTGTGGTTAATGCTGCCAGGCCAGCCTGGGACTCACTCTTCTGGGCAGTGGGTTTCCCTCTAGCCCAGGGTAGGTCCAGAAATGCCATCCAAGAGCCACACCTGGAATTGAGAGCCACAACCTGGTCTCAAGAACAGCTTGATACTCTATCTGTCTGTGGCTGAAGTGGCTGAAGCTGCAAGTCGAAGTCTCCTTTACTCTTCTCTCTACTTTTCTCAAGCAGAAGGAGTCACTCCTCGTAAGTACCATAGCTTTGAGTGCGCTAGGTCACACCTGAGTCAGTGTGTCCCAGAATATCACTCAAAGCTCATGGCATGTACACCTGGTTATTGCTGCTGACTATTCAGGGCCCATTGGCTCTTTATTCATCAGGTGTTAAGTTCTGCCAGGGCTGCATCCTTCCCTTCAAGGCAGTGGTTTCCTTTCTGGCTGAGGATGTGTCTAGAAATGTTGTCTGGGTGATAGGGCCTGGAATGGGCGGCTGATGACTCTGCCTGGTGCCCTGTCCTACTACGGCTAAGGTGTTATTCAAGTCACAAGACAAATCCTCCTTACTCTTCCCTCTCCTCTCCTCAAGTGGAAGAAAAGAATCTCTGCTGGAGTTGTTAGCTGCACTGCTTGGGGTTCACGGATAGGAGCACAAACACCCTCTTTGTGGACCCAGCTGGTCTCACTAGCTCCTAAGCCCCCCAAGTTCACTGGCTCTGAGCTAAACACAGCACCATGACTTGACTAAGAGTTACAGTCATTGTAACCTAGATTGCCTTTCAAGTTTATTTTGTTCCCCAGAGCACTTTAGCTCACAGTGGCAAGGCTTGCCAAAACTTATGTTGAAACTACTGGGATAGGTAATTGCCTTCTGGCTAGGGCTCATATAAATGCTTCCTCTGTGAGCATGAACTGAGTTCTGTCCAATATTGGCAGCACTGAGTTCCAATGAAAAGTCCCACCGTCACTGCTCCCTCCCTCCCCCAAGGACACAGATTCTCTCTCCTGCCATGTAGCTGCTGCAGGGGTTTGGGTAAGGAGTGGGGTTAGCAATTCAAGACTGTCTTTCTAACCCTCTTCTGTACCTCTTTCACTGATATGAAGTTAAAACCAAGTACTATGATCACTCACCTGATTTTTGGTTCTTATGAAGGTGTTTTATTGTATAGATAGTTTTAAAATTTGGTGATCCTGTGGACAGGATGATCGGTAGAGGCTTCTATTTGGCAACCTTGCCCCACCTCCTTCTCCTCTATTCCTTTATTTTTGTTTAAATTTTCTTGGATGTTTACTAGATTTTTTAAATGGCATATGTGAGCTAATGTGAGTAGAGATTCAAGAATTTTCACACAAGTACTTTAATAAGCATATTTTAATGGAACATCATTTCTTACTCTGAAAAAATTATCATGTTAGACTGTGCCATTTTGCAATTTGCAATCTTTTTTATTTTCAAAAAAGACACCGGATGAATGATTGCTAAATGTCAAGTAGTTGGTTATGCACCTCTAATTCCTGTTACGTCATGTTCCTGCTCTGTAGCCCAATATATGGACAATGGTCAAATGGTCTCTATATTTGCTGTGATTTACCTTTATTTGTTTCAACTTCCTGAAGAGGTATGACTACCCATTAGATCCCAGGACCTGCTAGGGTAACAGATTCCTTCCTTTCACATTTTTAATATTACCAATCACATAGGACCTTCCATGAATGAATCCAAATGTCCGTTTTCCAAATTTAGAATTTTATGTGTTTGCAGATATTTTGATTTTTTGCATTAAATTTAATTAAAATGCATATTGAGATTAGACTTCTCCTCTGTGCAAGCTGATAGCAAAGTTAAAGCAAGAAAATTACAGAAGAGAAGCAAATGTGCTGCAGAAGAAGTGAGTTTGGAGTCATTCAGCAGGCAGGTGGAACAATATTAAAATATGCAATGACTGTGAAACAGAGCTCAAGTATTTAAAAATAGTTTTCTATTTAATGAAAAATATTTATAAAGCAAAAATGTTTTTTAAAGTTATGCATTATGGAAAAATTCACAAAGGTGATATGAATCTACAGGTAATTTCAGATAAACATGTTAATTTAAAAAATAATTGTAATTTGTGAAAAATTTAAGAAAAAAATCAATTCTTTTTTTAGTGTTAAGACAAACCCAGGGATGTTTATAAATTGGAATTTAGACAGTAGGTTTTAGGTGAGTGTAAAGAAGAAAGAAAGAAAAGCGAGACAGTAAAAGCCTAGGATGTGAAGAGAAAGATAAAAGAAGCAGAGAGATGCAAAATGTGTTTAACTAAGGGCTAGTAGTTATTATCTCTAATCCAGATATAGATAGCACTGTCAGAAAAGTTAAATTATCCTGTTGTATAAATTAAATAACTAAAATATAAATTAGCAATATCAGCTATTTTTTCCTTACAGTTATTGAGATTTTATGCTTTGCTGAAACATTCATTTAGCCAAATAAAATGCATTAAAATTTAGCATTAAAGACAAAGCAACAAGATATTTTAAAACTATTTGTATGCTTTAGCTAATTTTCTCAACAGCTCTCCACAGTTATTACTCTTGTTTTTTCTGTAAGTAATAGTTCTCTTGGCATTTTGGCCATGGCTCTTGATTCACTTAGATATTCAAAGGTAGAATACAAAAGAAAAAAGAGACAATTTGAATGATGCAAATTGTAAAGAAGATTTTAGTAACTATATAGATTTTAAAATATAATCAGGAAAGAAGAAAACTGCATTAGAAGTAGTGATTTAATTTTCAATCTTGTCTTCTATAGAAGAGTTAACATCTGTATTTCATTATTAAGACAGACATAGATCCTTAGAAGAGGATTCTCGGGGTACTTGTGTTTAATTGGAAACAGACTTAATTTTTTCTATGATAACAATTTGGCATATTATATCACTTCATTTTAATACATTATCATGTTGTTTATAGGAGATTTCAAAGAAGAATGCAAATACATGCCACGGAGGTAGCTTTATTTTCATTTTACAGTGAGGTTAGGCAAAGCATGGTTATGTTTTCTATTTTTCATAAATGTGAAAAGAATTTTATTATTCTCGTACAAATATTTATCATCTAATTGTATCCAATAGGAATACCCAAAAGTTGACAAATATAATAAATTGTTTATTATTTTAAGGCTATAATCCAATTTTGTTTTAAAAAATCCTCACTATAGAATGCTGAAAAAATACTAAAGGGTGGCTCAGCAAGAGCACCCAAAATAATATATGAGAGGACAGGTACATATGATGATCTAGATTAACCTAATAACTTATTGAGAACCTAGAAGAATGAATGGGCCACAGGATATTTAGGTAATATCCTGAGATATTACCAATCTTTTCTTTCTTTCTGATAAGAACAGATGAAGAGTATATTCAAAGTTTTATTGCCTGGCAACTATTTGGAGTGCGGATAATCTCTGATGCCATTTAAGTGAGATCTGATTAGGGCTGACATCCCAAAACAATAATAAAAATGAAGCCCCGGAAAGAAAAATGCTTGGATAGAATATCATACCCACATACCAATTGAGGTGGCCAGAAAGACAGCACCAATTATGAGACATAACTTTTTCCTCAAGGAAAAAGGGAAGGAAGGAAGGAAAGAAGGAACAAAGGAAGGAAGGAAGGGAGGGAGGGAGGGAGGGAGGAAGGAAGGAAGGAAGGAAGGAAGAAGGGAAGGAATGGAAGGAAGGAAGGAAGGGATAAAATCGAGGTTGTTCTAGAGATATTGACCTCTCATTAAAGGCCCCAGAGTTCTGCTCTTTGGAAAGAAGACACATAAGTTCTAGCCTGGAAGATTTTTTTCTAACAGCCTTCATTTTTGTTTTTTAGAGTAGTTTAGGTTCATAGCAATATTGAGCAGAAGGTAAAATGATTTCTGCCTCCACACATACATAGCCTCCCCTATCATCAACATCCCCATCAGAGGGATACATTTGTTACAATTGATGAACCTACATTAACATATTATTATCACCCAAAATCCAAAGTTTGCATTAGGGCTCACTCTTTCCTATAGATTTGTACAAATGAATCTGCCATTATAGTTTCATACATAGTAGTTTCGCTGCCCTAAAAATTTTCTGCGTTCCATCTATTCATTTATCCCTCTTTTCTAGCTACTGGAAAACACTGTTTTTTTTCCTGTCTCCACAGTTTTGCCTTTTCCAAGGTGCCCTATGGTTGGAATAACACAGTGCGTATGCCCTTTCAGACTGGCCTCTTTCACTTGGTAATGCAAATTTAAATATCTTACATGTCTTTTCATGGCTTGATAGCTCATTTCTTTCTAGTACTGAACAATATCCTATTGCTCAGATGTAGAGTTCATTTATCAGTTCCCCAACTGAAGGACATCTTGGGTATTTCTGAGAGTTTTGGAGATTATGAATAAAGTTGCCCGTGTGCAGTTTTTTGTGTTGACATTAGTTTTCAACAACCTTGGGTAAATAGCAATGAATACCATTGCAAGATTACTTGATAATACTGTTGTTAGTTTTGTGAGAAACTGCCAAACTGTCCTCCCAAGTGACCATACAATTTTCAACCCTAACCAGCAATGAATGAGAGAGTTTCTGTATATCTTTGCCAGCTTTTGGTGGTGTCAGTGTTTTTAATTTTGGCCATTCCCAAAGATGAGTAGTCATATCTCTTGGTTTTAATTTTTATTTCTCTGATGACACATAATGGGCAATTTTGATATTCTTATTTTTCATGTGTATATCTTTTTTGGTGAGGTGCCTGTTAAAGTCTTTGGCCCATGGTTTGTTTTCTTATTATTTAGCTTTCAGGGTTTTTTGCATATTTTATATAAATGACCTTTATAAGATATGTTTTAAAAATATTTTCCCCAAGTCTGTGGCTTATCTTTTTATTCTCTTGAAGATATATTTTGTACAGCAGTATTTTTTTTATTTTAATAAAGTCCAACTTAATCAGTTTTTTCTTTCTTGGATAGTGGCTTTGGTGTATGTCTAAATTATTATCACCAAACTCAAGGTCACCAGGATTTTCTCCTGTTGTCTTCCAAGAGTTTTATAGTTCTGCATTTTATATTTAGGCCTGTGATTTATTCTGAGTTAATTTTGAGGAGATCTTAGGTATATATATATATGTATATATATATATATACATATATATATATGTATATATATATACACATATATATGTATATATATATACATATATATATATGTATATATATGTGTGTGTGTGTGTGTGTGTGTATATATATATATATATATAATACTTTAAGTTCTAGGGTACATGTGCACAAGGTGCAGGTTTGTTACATATGTATACATGTGCCATGTTGGTGTGCTGCATCCATTAACTCATCATTTACATTAGGTATATCTCCTAATGCTATCCCTCCCCCCTCCCCCCACCCCACAACAGGCCCCAGTGTGTGATGTTCCCCTTCCTGTGTCCAAGTGTTCTCATTGTTCAATTCCCATCTATGAGTGAGAACATGTGGTGTTTGGTTTTTTGTCCTTGTGATAGTTTGCTGCGAATGATGGTTTCCAGCTTCATCCATGTCCCTACAAAGGACATGAACTCATCCTTTTTATGGCTGCCTAGTATTCCATGGTATATATGTGCCACATTTTCTTAATCCAGTCTATCACTGATGGACATTTGGGTTGGTTCCAAGTCTTTGGAGATCCTAGGTTTTTTATTGTGCATAACTAATGTTAATTTCAGCCATAGTAATGCCTCAGGAAAGTGCTGATGTAATGTTTAGCTTCAGAATATGCTATTTCCTATATTTACGTACACAACTGAACATATGAATTAACTTTGTTTTCTGTGTAAATCTGTTAACTATATACCAAACAAAGTTGAAAATTTGTCTACTAAAAAAGTATGAGAAGAAGTTTGGAACAGACTAGTTGAAGTTATAACCTCATGCAGGACAGCGAGTTATCTGCTACTTTTGACAGTAAAATCATTATAATATCCTCATATGGAAAAATTCATTTTAGTGTTTTCTGTATCTAGATGATTGGGGCAACAGTCCATTCATCCAAAGGAATGTGAGTGAGGAAGTAGGGATCTAAGAACAAGTTACCATGTAGTTCAGTAAAGAATACTAATTAATCAACTTCCTATTTTTCTTTAATATTAACTCAGTAATACATTGTAAAAGGCTGTGAATCACTCAATATTTTATTTTATTTTTAATTATTATTGTTTTCAAAACTTTGGTGCAAAACTACAAAGTATATGAATGTATCAGTGATCACATCGTAAATTTTATTTCTATGTCATTTAGAATTTTGGTTTGATAATTTAAGCCTTGAGTTTTTCTGTAAAAATAAAAGTAGCACACATTTTACTTAGATAAGCCAAAATGCTTAGCACTTGGAAGACTCTAAAATCTTGTATAGAATGTCATCTGGGATCATCTGGATAAAGCCATACTTTTATAGTTTTATTTATAAAACTATAAAACCATATATATATTTTATTTATAAAACTATAAAAGTTCATGGTATTTCAGATATTTGCTTGAAAATCAATGTATATTTGAACATCTTTCTAGACTGGAAATTATTCTGAGTTATTCGATTTAGCATAGCTTTTTAATTAACTCAAATATGAATGGAGAGTAAAAGCAATCTGGAACATCTGATACAGTTGATCTCTACGTATAAATATAAGTCAAGTCTGGTTGTCAACTGCAGTATAGGAGACCATTATCTAACTTCTCAGTGCATGTCTTGGGTAATGTGGTATTGCTGCTTTCCTCAATTCCAGATAGAATGACAAATTTCATAGATCTGTATATCTATATATACACACACACTCCATATATATATTATATATATATTTAATTCCTCAATCCACTGCACCTCTTTATATATATAATATATAACATACATACACATATATAGATTTGAATATTATTACATTTGAATTTGCATAGAAGAATACATTCTACAACAAGAAATAAAAAGATAGAACATGGAAATTTTCAAGATATTTATATAAAAATTTAAATTTTAATAAACCCCAAACAAATATAGAACACTCAGTTAAATTTGAAGTTTAGATAAATGAATGATTTTATTAGAACTTTGTCTCAAATATTGCATGGGGATAATTATATTAACAAAAATATCTGTTTATGTGCACTAGAAATTTAACTGGACATCTGTATTTTTATTTGCTACGTTTGTAGTACTCATTTGAAGAATAGCAACGTATAAACTTAAGTGAATAAAAAGCTTGTAAATAATCATTATTTTCATGTTCAACTACAAATCATCTATTAAGAATTAATGAAGTAAAATTATAATGACATTTTAATTTATAAATAAAACAATTGAGGTGGAATCTAGTACATGAAAAGGCCTTATTCAGCCTTTTAATTATGGAGGCAGTGAAGTTGGATTTCTGTCTAATGTTAGCCACCTTTGTCAGGAAGTCACTTTAATGTAAAGTTCTGAGGAGATTTATTTTTAATTAATTGAAAGTCACATCATATCAGTCTGTAAGAATAAAAAAGACTAACAGTAGCAAGTTATTTATTTCAGGCACATTTGAAGTCATGGGGATTTTTAATCTCAAAGAAAACTTGGGATTTAAGTCTATGTACTGTTTTGAAATATCCTGAAATTGGAAAAATATGAATAGTTAATGTCTTGTCATTCTCATTTCAACAATTTTCTGTGAGAGGTCTTTATAATCATAGAAATAATACTCCGTCTTCCTTTCCTGACCCAGTAAGAAACAATGTGGCCAAGTCCAGCATCTCAGTGCCCTACTCTTCTTTGAAACATTGCAGGACTTGAAATAATGACCTGATGCACGTTAATAGTCTTCCTGGAAAGGATGAGTGTTTGTACCACTAAAAATAATTATTTAATAACCACAGCAAGTACTATGTGTTGTTAAGAGTAGTTTTAAAAATTAATACAATGCAGAAGTTAAAAACAAAATTCTTTTATTATTTTTATTTTTTAAAATTTCTCAATTCATTTGACCTTTTTAGAGGTAAAATTTATTTACAGTTTGGTGTCTAAGCTACATTTTTAAATGTATTGCATCCATATAATTACATATACACAAATAGTCATGTTTTCACAAAAAAGAAATCCTTCAACATTTTGTTCTGAGATTTAGCACGTTGATAAAAGGATAAATTCGGGAGAGGGACTGCCTGGGTTTCAATCTATTTCCTGCTTCTTAGTAGTGTGGTGTTGGGCAAATGACTTAACCTCTATAACTCAGTTTTGTCTTTTGGAAAATGGGGGTCTCACTTCATAAGGCTGTTATGAAACAAATAGCTACTGATATTTGTAACACACTCAAAAGAGTATCTGATGCTTAGTGTCTTAGTCTATTTGTGTTGCTATACAGAGCAATAAGGTAATACCTGAGACTGGGTAAATTTGTAAAGAAAAGAAGTTTATTTAGCTTATAGTTCTGCACATTGTACAAGAAGCTGCATCTACTTCTGGTGAGGGATTTAGGGAGCTTCTACTCCCACTCATGGCAGAGGTGAAGGACAGCTGGCTTGTGTAGAACACATGGTGAGAGAGAAAAGCAAGATAAAGAAAGGAGGAGGTACCAGCTCTTTTAAACAACCAGGTGGCACAGGAAATAATAGAGTGAGAATTCACTTACTCCCTGGAGAATGGCACCAAGGCAGTCATGAGGGATCTGCCGCATGACCCAAACACCTCCTATTAGGCCCCACCTTCCAACACTGCCCACAAGGGGAACTGAATTTCAACATGAGATTTAGTGGGGACAAATATCTAAACTAAAGCACTTAGTATGCACTACATGTGTTTATTAAATAAATACAACACAATTTGTATTTCATTAACAGTGAACATGTTATTAATTTATCCATATCAGTACAGAGAGATCTTATTGACTTTTTAATGGCTCCTTAGTATTCTAGAGCATTTAGTTAACATAATTTATTTAATCATGACACTTCTGATGGACATTCAGTTTATTGATAATACTTTTATTATAATTACAAATGCTGCTACTACAAGGATCGCTGTACAAATATCTTAATATAGAGTGAGAATACTTCTGTAAAATAAGGTACCATGGAATGCTGGTTTAAAATTTTGGTATACACTGCCAAGCTGCTCTTACAATAAGCTGAAGAATTACACCCTCTCAAAGAGTCAATAAGACTTTCCAATTTCTCCACCTGTTTTCCAGTGCTGAAGAAGCTTACACTCTCTTCACTCCATTCACTCCAAATTGTACTGTGGTGCCTTACTCTCAATGTTAACACATTCAGTGAAAAGAGAAACAAAAACAAAACAAACAAACACTGAAGCATGAATTTAGGATAGGTTGTTACATTAAAACCATAGGAGGATTATATGTTTTTCTGTCTAATGCATATTTGTTAGGGGTAAAGTTTTGCGTTCAGAACAGAACATAGGAATGATAGGAATGTTCTGAATTCAGATAGAGTATAGAGTGAATGACTAAGAAAGAGAAACTTTTCATCATGAGCTCTCATTCATTACTCAACAGTTTTCAAAGACTATCACTCCTAGAGAAGAGTCCAGTGAGAATTTTTGCAGAGGGCAAACTCAGCTTTTGAAAGAATTATTGAAATGTGTGTTGCCTTATTTTACCTAGGCAGCAAGTACCAGCCAAAGCTTCATAATGTATTGATCTTTCTCATTTGAAGGCCGCTTTTATGTTTAATTATAACTGACAACACAATGGTAGAAAAATACATTTGCAACACCTTAGAAAATATAGAATATTGTTCATTAATCAGCAGATTTGGTGAAACCCAATAGACCAAACTCTTTGCTTATTGATATTGTAATAATTCACCAAGAGGGGAAACCAGCAATGGCATTACTTTTCTGGGAGCCTGGAAAGAAAGAAGTATGTGCAATCTACCCCCACAATCTGTAGTTACTTAATATAGAACAACTTAGTTTTCAAATAAAAATTTTGAATTTTAACCTATTGCCTAAAATATACTGATGATTTGTAAAATTGGTTAACCTTAAGTTTTTTTAAATTAAAAAATGTAAGGATTCATATTCTATTTATTTTTCCAATTATGAGAATCTATAATAGAGTAAAATTTATTGCAATTCCATGATGTGAAGGGAGAAAGGGGCACAGGAAAAGGGATGCTAACAAGAATTAAGTCATTAGTTTTAGAATTAAGCTTGAAATTACTTACATTGAGTAAAGGAATGATTCTCTTTCACACTGATTGGTTTATAAAACAGAAAATTGTCACAAATATGAATATAATTTCCTGGTGAAAATTTTTATTAGTTGCAATGAAGCTCTTATGTAAAGATTAAAATTCTTTATAATTTAAACTTATCATTGATAGAATTTAATTTGCTTTTTCATTAATTTGAAGAAATCACAATCTCCAAATTGATTTTACTTGACAAATGGAAACGATTAAGAGAATAAATAGTTGGAATATTGGCCATAAACATTGGGTACAGTAAAAGAACAAGATTTTAATGTGAAATATACTTAAGTTTGGATCCCCTGGTCTCTCTTAACTATTAGTTTGTGCTTCAAGGAGCATTTAGAATACTATTATTCTTCAAATAGGTTGATGCAAAAGTAATTGCGGTTTTGGCTTGTGAATTTTTAATCATTATAACTAGGATTAAACACATCTTTATTAACCAAAATAGAAACCATTACAATCAACACGTTTTTGCCAACAAAAAATGTTTGTTTATCCCTGGAGTGTAAGAATCCATGCTTTGGGATTCAATGAACTCTTGAAAAGCACCTTTTTTTTTTTTTTTTTTTTTTTTTTGCATCCTGCTGGTTGTGGAAGTGTTTTTCCTGCAAAAAGTTGTGAAGGTGCTTTAAGAAGTAGTCATTGGTTGGTTGGCAAGAGGCCAGGTGAATATGGCAGATGAAGCAACACTTTGTAGCCCAATTCGTTCAACTTTTGAAGTGTTGGTTGTATGACTTGCGGTTTGGGCGTTGTCATGGAGAAGAATTGGGACCTTTCTGTTGACCAATGCTGGCTGCAGGCATTGCAGTTTTTGGTTCATCTCATCGATTTGCTGAGCATACTTCTCTGATGTAATGGTTTTACTGGGATTAGAAAGATCAGACCGGCAGGAGACCACCAATGACCATGACCACTTTTTGGTGCAAGTTTGGCTTTGGAAAGTGCTTTGGAGCTTCTTTTCAGTGCAACCATTGAACTGGTTGTCACTGGTTGTCATATAAAATCCTCTTTTCGTCTCACATCACAAACCGTTCGAGAAATGGTTCATTGTTGTTGTGTAGAACCCTGACAGGATTCTCCAGACAAACAGAACAAATAACATTATATATACAAATATAATATACATATATATACATATATGTGTGTATGTGTATGAAATTTACTATGAAAATTGGTTTAAATTCTCATGTAGCCCAAGAGGTTTTATGACCTATCCCAGCCCAAAGGTCCAAGAAGGGAGGGGGTTGCTGGTATTAGCCCCAGAATTTGAAGACCTGAGAACCAGGAGCTCCAGTGTCTGAGGGTAGAAGATTAATGTCCCAGCTCAAAAAGAGTGAGAGATAATTTGCCCTTCTGGCTTTTTGTTCATTGTTTGGGCCCTAGGGATTGGATAATGCCAGCCCACACTGGTGAAGTCAGATCTCTGCTTGGCAATATAACATAATATAATATGTATGTTGTTTACATTATACTACATATAATATGTGGAAGATTTATGAAAACATGGAAAGCACAAAAGAGACATTTTATCCTTTAATATGCTTGAAGATATGGTAAAGAGATAATATACAAATAATATTATATGTACCAAGGAAATGACTTTCACAATTGGAGTAATTTCCCAGATAAGCAAAAAAAAAAAAAAAAAAAAAAAGAAAAAAGAAAAAGAAAAAAGAAAACGTGATGTGGAGGAAAAGTGTGTTTTTAAAAACTCTTCTGTACACTAATCATCTTGCTGTCAGTTTCATTCATTGATAAAATCTATTACCTTATCCATAGCCATAGAAATATAGCTAATCACTTTTTAAAATATGCTGCATAAACCTCTGTGCTAAAATCAGAAATGTTTTATTTGTCTAAAACAAACACTGAGCAACAGAAAAAAAAAAGAAAAACACTAGAGAAGAAGTCAGGAAATTTCACTTATATTATTCTTAGTAGCTGTAAGTGTACAGTCATTTAATTTAGTTTATGTGCCCCTCACTTTGTGTATCTTTATAGAGTACTGTCGTATTTCTATTTGATCTTCTCTAAATATGAATTACGTAGTCACCATTTTCTTCTGTCTTTAAGTATACATTTAAATATTTCCTCATCTTTTTAAACTGTTCTTGGTAATTTTCAGCATCCCCTAAATGGATAATGCTATACAGTAGTCTGCCCTGGGATATCAGTTGCTGAGTCTGGCTCTAAAAATCTACATTTGTGAGATAGGGCTCCTCTCTAACTTGAGGTACACTAACTCTAGATGTACTGCTTCTCTAAAATCTGTCAGCTTGCCTGACTTCAGTCTATTACTCCATCTTGATGTGTGGCTTTTAGTTCACTCTGATTTTGAATTAATACTCTGTGAACCCCTAACTTCTGAGGACTGTCTGGATTTAGAATGACTCTTCAGTTTGCTCTGCTGTTTCATTCATTTCTAGTATTGGTATATTTTATTGTCCTGCTATATACCATGTTATGGAGCAGAAGTAAATCTATTACATTTGTTTTATGTGACTATTAGGCCTATACGTAGCAAAAATAATATAAATTTCCTATTTAACAATCTTCTTACAAATATTTATAGGAAATACATAGAATAAGCTGTATATTTGGCTAATGCTTAAGTAAGGTACATAGAACCCCTGCTGATATGGTTCAGCTGTGTCCCCACCCAAACCTCAACTTGAATTATATCTCCCAGAATTCCCATGCGTTGTGGTTGTGGGGGGACCCAAGGGAAGGTAATTGAATCATGGGGTCTTGTCTTTCCCATGCTATTCTTGTGATAGTGAATAAGTCTCACAGGATCTGATGGGTTTATCAGAGGCTTCCACTTTTGCTTCCTCCTCTTTTCTTTTCTCTTGCTGATGCCATATAAGAAGTGCCTTTTACCTCCCGCCATGATTCTGAGGCCTCCCCAGCAATGTGGTACTGTAAGTCCAATTAAATCTCTTTTTCTTCCCAGTCTTGGGTAGGTTTTATCAGCATCATGAAAACAGACTAATACAGTAAATTGGTACTAGTAGAGAGGGACATTGCTGAAAAGATACCCAAAAATGTGGAAGCGACTTTGGAACTCGGTAACAGGCAGAGGTTGGAACAGTTTGGAGGGCTCATAAGAAGACAAGAAAATATGGGAAAGTTTAGAACTTCCTAGAGACTTGTTGGATGGCTTTGCTGAAAATACTAATAGCAATATGAACAATAAGGTTCAGGCTGAGGTGGTCTCAGATGGAGATAAGGAATTTGTTGGGAACTGGAGCAAAGGTGACTCTTGTTATGTTTTAGCAAAGAAACTGGCAGCATTTTGCCTCTACCCTAGTGACTTGTGGAACTTTGAACTTGAGAAAGATGATTTAGGGTTTCTGGAGAAAGAAATTTCTTTTTTTTTTTTTTTTCTAAAAATATGGAATGCATCACGAATTTGGGTGGAGAAAGAAATTTCTAAGCAGCAAAGCATTCAAGAGGTAACTTGGGTATTGTTAAAGGCATTCAGTCTTATAATGGAAACACAGAATAAAAGTTTGGAAAATTTGCAGGCTGACTATTCGACAGAAAAGAAAAACCCATTTTTCTGGGGAGAAATTCAAGCCAGCTTCAGAAATTTGCATAAGTAGCAAGAGCTGAATGTTAATCTCAAAGACAATGGGGAAAATGTCTCCAGGCCATGTCAGAGACATTTATATCAGCCCTTCCCATCAGAGGCCTGGAGGCCCCGGAGTAAAAAGTGGTTTTGTGGGCTGCTCCCAGGGTCCTTGTGCTGTGTGCAGCCTAGGGACTTGGTGCCCTGTGTCCCAGCTGCTCCTGCCGTGACTGAAAGGGGCCAGTGACTAGCCATGATTCTAAGGCATCCTGAGCCATATGGTACTATAAGGCCAATTAAACCTCTTTTTGTTCCCAGTTCCAGGTATATATTTATCAGCAGGGTGAAAATGATCTAATACACCTCTGATATAGTTTAGAAAGAAAAAACAGTTCTGTCTATTTAGTTAACATTGCTTTTTGAAGGAAAATCTTTTTAGAATAACCAAATTAACTTTTTTTTCTCATTGTCATCAAATTGATCCCACCATCAAGCTTCATTTTATATTTGAACTAAACTACTAGAGTCTAGTTGTTCTCAACTGGGGTGATTTTGCACTTTTGGTATATTTTTGGTTGTCATATCAGAGGAGTGCTGCTGGCATCTGGTAAGTAGACGCTCTTGATAAATGCTGCTAAATATCCTGCAACACACAGAACAGTTTCCAAGACAAAGAATCATCCAGTCCAAAATGTCAACAGTGCTGAAGTATGGAAACGTGCTAGACTGATTAAGGGCCAACAATTTAATTCCAAAAATAGAATCCCATTTTCCCTCTAAATAAGTGGGCCTTGACACAGAGAACTCAATCTACATATAAAACAAAAGCCATATTTAATATTGAATCCTGTCCTTGGAATACCCATAAGAGAAGTAAAAGAAATAAAAATAAGGTGAAAATACTGAACATTTTACTATTCGTGTTAGAATTTATAAAAAGCTAACATGAGAGAAAAATAATAGGATTTTCTAGAAGCCCCTAGGTCTCCACAGAAACAAGAAACAAAGTTCTTCATTCTCTTCTCTGGGAGGAACACCATTTTAACAGTAACAAAAATAGCCGCTGGAAACCGGTTTATTTTCTATTGCTGCAGGTTGCCTTAGGAAGACAGTCAGTAGGTCATTTTTATTTATGGGCCGACTGGGAGATTTCAGTACCTTTTATTTCTCAAAAGACTTATGAAAGTAAATGGGGGTGTCAGGGCAAGATGGCTGACTATATGTAGCCAGGTGGAATAGCTGCCATCACATGTTCTCTTTTATAAGTGGGAGCTAATTGATGAGAACACATGGACACAGCAAGGGGAACAACAGACACTAGGGCCTACCAGACAGTGGAGGGTGGGAGGAGGGAGATCAGGAAAAATAACTATGGGTACTAGGCTTAATACCTGGGTGACAAAAGAGTCTTTACAACAAACCCTATGACATAGGTTTACCTATACAACCAACCTGGGCATGTACCCCTGAACTTAATTTAAATTAAAAAAAAATAAATGTATTGAAATATATAAAGTGCACAGAATACTGCCTTACACATAATAAGCATGTAATAAAGTTTGCCTATTATTATTTCTTCTTGTCTTCTTGTTCTTTTTCTTGTTGTTGTTGTTGTTGTTGTTGTTGTTGTTGTTGTTCTTCTTCTTCTTCTTCTTCTTCTTCTTCTTCTTCTTCTTCTTCTGTAGAAAGGGATTCAGAAAGAGGCTAGGTTGTTTGTTCACAATATAGAACTAAAAGCAAATGACATTCTTAAATTTTTGTGATATTAGCACTTAAATTTAAGCTACTCTATTTTAGTCAAACTGTGTTAGTCAACTTCCTGTTTAAGGCATGTAGGTTTCAATTAATTAAGGGTGAATCAGGTGACTATTCAAAGACATCTTACTATATGTGTTGTTTGTTTGGGATTCCAAAACTAAGTTGGCCATTTTCAAATATATTGCAATATGTATAATATGATCACATCACACCTATTAAGATTTCTCACTTAGGATTAAATGTGTTGTTCTTTATATGTTTTTATTTACATAAAAAATAATCCTAAAGGATGAATCATTATCTTATTTTCTGGAGTCTGGGAAACTGACTGAGGTTGTAATACAGGTTCCAAATCAAACATCCAGTCTATATACATTCTCTTGATTTCAAATCAAGAGTTCTTCCCACCATACTATAAAAATATGTCAGCAACCTCAAAAAGAAAATTTTGGTGACCGCTATCTGAGACAGTGCCTGAATACATCCTTGTAATTTGACCCAAAATCAAATAAAATTACCTAAATTACAATAAAATATTAACTATTTTCAAATGCTAAAAATTATTTTTAAGTATACATAAAATAATATGTCTATAAAAGAGATTTTCGTTGCCTAGCCAATATTCATTGTTCTCTTTATCCTTAATAACAAAATTTTGATTTTTACCTCTGGTGGCAACATAACCCAATAATGTATTTTTTTCAAAAAAGTTCCCTAGCTTCTTTAGCAAATATAGTTGCCTAATATGCCATAAGTCTTAATTGCTGGGTGAAGATTGAGAAGATCTTCTTAAAGAGGGCTGGTAAATTGAGAAGAAAACATTTTCATAATTATTCTGTTTCCATCTTCCCTCCCTTTCCTGCCTAGAGTATGAACATGCTAGCTGAAGCATCTACAGCCTCCTTTGATTATGAGGAAGTCTTGAGTATGCAAGTAAAGCATTAAGGAATATAATTTAAAATGACTGTATGAACCTAAGTCCCTGATTAACATGGAACTGCCATATCACTTCTTCCCTTCTTGTCTCCAGACTAACTTTAACATGAGAGGCTTACATCTCTATCTTATTTAGCCTGCAATTTGTGCCTTCTGGTATATGCTACTAAATCATACCCCAGTAGATATTCCTGGTCAAATCACCAATAACTAATGTCGATAAAAAGGAGGAAAGTTGACTGAAGGCAAGATGGCCAAATAGGAACAGCTCTGGTCTGCAGCTCCCAGTGAGCCCAATGCAGAAGACAGGTGATTTCTGCATTTCCAGCTGAGGTACCTGGTTCATCCCATTGGGACTGGTTAGACAGTGGGTGCAGCCCACGGAGGGCAAGCCGAAGCAGCATGAGGTGTCACCTCACCCAGGAAGTGCAAGGGGTCAAGGAACTCCCTGCCTTAGCCCAGGGAAGCCATGAGGGAATGTGCCATGAGGGATGGTGCTCTCCAGCCCAGATACTATGCTTTTCCCACAGTTTTTGCAATCTGCAGACCAGGAGATTCCCTCGGGTGCCTACACCACCAGGGACCTGGGTTTCAAGCACAAAACTGGGTGGCCATTTGAGCAGACACCAAGCTAGCTGCAGGAGTTTTTTTTTTTTTTTTTTTTCTGTACCCTAGTGGTGCCTGGAATGCCAGCAAGACAGAAACATTCACTCCCCTGGAAAGGGGGCTGAAGCCAGGGAGCCGAGTGGTCTTGCTCAGTGGGTCTCACCCCCATGGAGCACAGCAAGCTAAGATCCACTGGCTTGAAATTCTCACTGCCAGCACAGCAGTCTGAAGTCGACCTGGGACACTTGAGCATGGTGGGGGGAGGGGCAGCCACCATCTCTGAGCCTTCAGTAAGTGGTTTTTCCTTCACAGTGTAAACAAAGCCACCCTGAAGGTCAGACTGGGTGGAGCCCGCCTCAACGCAGCAAAGCTGCTGTAGCCAGACTGCCTCTCTAGATTGCTCGTCTCTGGGCAGGGCATCTCTGAAAGAAAGGCAGCAGCCTCAGTCATGGGCTTATAGATAAAACTTCCATCTCCCTGGGACAGAGCACCTGGGGGAAGAGGCAGCTATGGGCGCAGCTTCAGCAGACTTAAACGTTCCTGTTTGCTGGCTCTGAAGAGAGCAGTGGATCTCCCAGCAAAGCGTTCAAGCTCTGCTAAAGGACAGACTGCCTCCTCAAGTGGGATAGGGACCTATGCCTCCTGACTGGGAGAAACATCCCAGAAGGGGTCGACAGAAACCTCATACAGGAGAGCTCCAGCTGGCATCTGGCAGGTGCCTCTCTGGAACGAAGCTTCCAGAGGAAGGAGCAGGCAGCAATCTTTGCTGTTCTGCAGCCTCCACAGGTGATAACCAGGCAAACAGGGTCTGGAGTGGACGTCCGGCAAACTCTAGCAGATCTGCAAAAGAGAGGCCTGGCTGTTAGAAGGAAAGCTAACAAACAGAAAACAATAACATCAACATCAACAGAAAGGATGCCCATGCAAAAACCCCATCCAAAGGTCCTCAGCATCAAAGATCAAAGGTAGATAAATCCATGAAGATGAGGAAAAACCAGCTCAAAAATGCTGAAAATTCCAAAAAGCAGAATGCCTCTTCTCCTCCAAAGGATCACAACTCCTTGCCAGCAAGGGAACAAAACTGGACAGAGAATAAGTTTGACAAATTGACAGAAGTAAGCTTCAGAAAGTGGGTAATAACAAACTTCTCTGAGCTAAAGGAGCATGTTCTAACCCAATGCAAGGAAGCTAAGAACCTTGATCAAAGGTTACAGGAACTGCTAATAGAATAACCAGTTTAGAGAAGACCATAAGTGACCTGATGGAGCTGAAAAAAACAGCATGAGAACTTCGTGAAGCATACAAAATATCAATAGCTGAACTGATCAAGCAGAAGAAAGGATATCAGAGATTGAAGATCAACTTAATGAAATAAAGTGTGAAGACAAGATTAGAGAAAAAAGAATAAAAAGGAATGAACAAAGCCTCCAAGAAATATAGGACTATGTGAAAAGACCAAAACTATGATTGATCAGTATACCTGAAAGTGACGGGGAGAATTGAAGCAAGTTGGAAAACACATTTCAGGATATTATCCAGATGAACTTCCCCAATCTAACAAGACAGGCCAACATTCCAATTCAGGAAATACAGAGAAGAGCACTAAGATACTCCTTGAGAAGAGCAACCCTAAGACACATAATGGTCAGATTCATCAGGGTTGAAACAGAAGAAAAAATTTTAAGGGAAACCAGAGAGAAAGGTCAGGTTACCCACAAAGGGAACCCATCAGACTAACAGCAGATCTCTCTGCAGAAACCCTACAAGCCAGAAGAGAGTGGGGGCCAATATTCAACATTCTAAAAGGAAAGAATTTTCAACCCAGAATTTCATATCCAGCTAAACTAAGCTTCATGAGCAAAAAAGAAATAAAATCGTTTACTGACAGGCAAATGCTGAAGGATTTTGTCACCACCTTGCCTTACAAGAGCTCCTGAAGGAAGCACTAAATGTGGAAAAGAAAATCTGGTAGCAGCCACTGCAAAAACACCCCAAAATATAAAGACCAATGACATTATGAATAAACTCCATCAACTAATGTGCAAAATAACCAGCTAGCATCATTATGACAGGAACAAATTTATAGTAACAATATTACCCTTAAATGTAAATGGGCTAAGTGCCCTAATTAAAAAACAGACTGACAAATTGGGAAAAGAATCAAGACCTATTGTTGTGCTGTATTCAGGAGACCCATCTCACATGCAAAGAGATACATAGGCTCAAAATAAAGGGAAGAATGAATATTTTCCAAGCAAATGGAAAGCAAAGAAAAGTTGTGGTTGCAATCCTAGTCTCCGATAAAACAAATTTTAAACCAACAAACATCAAAAAAGACAAAGAAGGGCATTACATAATGATAAAGGTATCAGTGCAACAAGAAGAGCAAATTATCCTAAATATATATGCACCAATACAGAAGCAACCAGATTCATAAAGCAAGTTCTTAGAGACCGATAAAGAGACTTAGACTCCCACACAATAATAGTGGGAGACTTTAACACCCCCACTGCCTTATATTAGACAGATCAATGAGACAGCAAATTAACAAGGATATTCAGGACTTGAACTCAGCTCTGGACCAAGCAGACCTAATAGACATCTACAGAACCCTCCAACCCAAATCAACAGAATATACATTCTTCTCAGTGCCACATAGCACGTACTCTAAAATTGACCACATAATTGGAAGTAAAACACTCCTCAGCAAATGTAAAGGAATGGAAATCATAACAAACAGCCTTTCAGACCACATTCAAATCAGAACTCAAGATTAAGAAACACACTCAAAACTGCACAACTACATGCAAACTGAACAACCTGCTCCTGAATGACTACTGGATAAATAATGAAATTAAGGGAGAAATAAATAAGTTTTTTGAAACCAGTGAGAACAAAGACAGAACATAACAGAATCTCTAGGACACAGCTAAAGCAGTGTTCAGAGGGAAATTTATAGCACTAAATGCCTACAGGAGAAAGTGGGAAAGATCTAAAATTGACATCCTAATGTCATGATTAAAGAACTAGAGAAGCAAGAGCAAACAAATTTAAAAGCTAGCGGAAGACAAGAAATAACTAGGATCAGAGCATAACTAAGAGATACAGACACAAAAAAAAACCTTCAAAAATCAATGAAACCAGGAGCTGTTTTTTTTGAAAAGTTTAACAGAATAGATAGACCACTAGCCAGACTAATAAAGAAGAAGAGAGAGAAGAATCAAGTAGACACAATAAAAAATGATAAAGGGGATATCACCACTGATCCACAGAAATACAAACTACCATCAGAGAATACTATAAACACCTCTATACAAATAAACGAGAAAATCTAGAAGAAATGGATAACCTCCTGGACACATACACCCTCCCAAGACTAAACCAGGAAGAAGTTGAATCCCTGAATAGACCAATAACAAGTTCTGAAATTGAGGAAGTAATTAACAGCCTACTGACCAACAAAAGCCCAGGACCAGATGTATTCACAGCTGAATTCTACCAGAGGTACAAAGAGGAGCTGGTACCATTCCTAAAATTATTCCAAACAAAAGAAAAAGAGGGACTCCTCCCTAACTCATTTTATGAGGCCAGCATCATCCTGATACCAAAACCTGACAGAGACACACACACAAAAAGAAAATTTCAGGCCAGTATTCCAGGTGAACATTGATGTGAAATTCCTCAGTAAAATACTGGCAAATCAAATCCAGCAGCACATCAAAAAGCTTATCCACCAAGATCAAATCAGCTTCATCCCTGGGATGCAAGGCTGCTTCAACATATGCAAATCAATAAATGTAATCCATCACATAAACAGAACCAATGACAGAAACCATATGCTTATCTCAATAGATGCAGAGAAGGCCTTCAATAAAATTCAACACCCTTGTATGCTAAAAAGTTTCAATAAACTAGGTATTGATGGAACATATCTCAAAATAATAAGAGCTATTTATGACAAACCCACAGCCAATATACTGAATGGGCAAAAACTAGAAGCATTCCCTTTGAAAACTGGCACAAGACAAGGATGTCCTCTCTCACCACTCCTATTCAACATAGTATTGGAAGTTCTGGCCAAGGCAATCAGGCAAGAGAAAGAATTAAAAGGTATGCAAATAGGAAGATAGTAAGTCAAATTATCTCTATTTTCAGACGACATGATTTTATATTTAGAAAACTCCATCATTTCAGCTCAAAAACTTCTCTAACTGATAAGCAACTTCAGCAAAGTCTCAGGATACAAAATCAATGTGCAAAAATCACAAGCATTCCTACACATCTATAATAGACAAACAGAGAAGCAAAACATGAGTGAACTCCCATTCACGATTGCTACAAAGAGAATGAAATACTTTGGAATACAATTTACAAGGGCTGTGAAGGACTTCTTCAAGGTGAACTACAAACCACGGCTCAGAAAAATAAGAGAGGACATAAATAAATGGAAAAACATTCCATGCTCATGGACAGGAAGAATCAATATCATAAAAATGGCCATACTGCCCAAAGTAATTATAAATTCAATGCTATTCCCATCAAGCTACCATTAACTTTCTTCACAGAATTAGAAAAAAAAGCTACTTTGAATTTCATATGGAATCAAAAAAGAGACTGTACAGCCAAGACAATCCAGAGCAAAAAGAACAAAGCTGGAGGCAGCATGATACCTGACTTCAAACTATACTGCAAGGTTACAGTAACCAAAACAGCATGGTACTCGTACCAAAACAGATATATAGACCAATGGAACAGAAGAGAGGTCTCAGAAACAACACCACACATCTACAACCATCTGATCTTTGACAAACCTAACGAAAACAAGCATGGGGAAAGGATTCCCTATTTAATAAATGGTGTTGGGAAAAACTGGCTATCCATATGCAGAAAACTGAAATTGGACCCCTTCCTTACACCTTATACAAAAATTAACTCATGATCAATTAAAGACTTAAATGTAAGACTCAAAGCCATAAAAACCCTAGAAGAAAACCTAGGGAATACCATTCAGGACATAGGCATGGGCAAAGACTTCATGACAAAAACACCAAAAGTAATTGCAACAAAAGACCAAATTGACAAATGGGATCTAATTAAACTAAAGAGCTTCTGCACAGCAAAAGAAACTATCATCAGAGTGAACAGGCAACCTACAGAATAAGAGAAAATTTTTGCAATCTATCCACCTGACAAAGGGCTAATATCCAGATTCCACAAGGAACTTAAACAAATTTACAAGAAAAAAACAACCCCATCAAAAAGTGGGTGAAGGATGTGAACAGACACTTCTCAAAAGAAGACATTTATGCAGCCAACAAACATATGGAAAAACGCTCATCATCACTAGTCATTAGATAAATGCAAATCAAAACCACAGTGAGATACCATCTCATGCCGGTTAGAATGGAGATCATTAAAAAGTCAGGAAACAACAGATGCTGGAGAAGATGTGGAGGCTTTTACACTGTTGGTGGGAGTGTAAATTAGTTCAACCATTATGGAAGACAGTGTGGCAGTTTCTCAAGGATCTGGAACTAGAAATACCATTTGACCCAGCAATACCATTAATGGGTATATACCCAAAGAATTATAAATCATTCCACTAAAAAGACACATGCTGACATATATTTATTGAAGCACTATTCACAATAGCAAATTCACAATATCAAAGATTTGGAACCAACCCAAATGCCTATCAATGATAGACTGGATAAAGAAAATGTGGCACATATACACCATGGAATACTATGTAGCCGTAAAAAAGAATGAGTTCATGTCCTTTGCTTGGACATGGATGAACTGGGAAACCATCATTCTCAGCAAACTAGCACAGGAACAGAAAACCAAACACTGCATGTTGTCACTCGTAAGTGGGAGTTGAACAATGAGAACACATGGACACAGGTAGGGGAACGTCACACACTGGGGCCTGTTCGGGGGTGGTGGGTAAGAGGAGGCATAGCATTAGGAGAAATACATAATGTAGATGACGGCTTGATGAGTGCAGCAAACCACCATGGCACATGTATACCTATGTAACAAACCTACATGTTCTGCACATGTATCCCAGAACTTAAAGTATGATCAAAAAAATTGACTAAAAAAAATTTTTAGACTACAAAAGACTTTTAATATGAAAAAAGGAGGAAAGTGGGAATTTGTATATTATTTGTATAATGAAGAAAAAAACTAGAAAGCTGCAAACATGTCTATAAAAATGATACATATGCATCTTCAATAGTACCCCATAATTCAACTTCTATTATTATCTCCATTTTACAAATAGGAAAATTATATCTTAGTGAAGTGTTAAGATAATAAAGGACAGAGCTAGCTTTTAATCATAGATAGTGGGACTCCAAAACGATTTCCCTTAAGATAAAGTGACTTTAATTCAGGGCCTTACAAACAGAGATATGTGATACGAATAAATGTTAAGACTAGCCAAAGGGGCAAGCAACTTTTAAAATGTTGCATACAATAAGATACACTTACCATGATTGTCTGTTTAACAGATTTTATGTCCATGTGTATTACATTTTAAAATTAAATAGAGAACTTTTATGAATTCACCTTTTAGTCTCCCCTTTAAGGATGAGTAGTGAAATGTGTACAGATTTTTGTAGAATAAAACTAGCATTAGCTGAACTGCCTTCTCTAGGTTCGTAGGCAGAATGAATTTGCATAAATAATAATAAGGGTTACTGTGAATATATATCCAACACATTGAAATTTGGTGGTTTATTCAATCAGATTAATACAAATAGGCATAGGTAATGATATATTTGTAATGGTGTCTTTCCCTCTGAACGAGAACAACAATTACGAATAAGGCTTTGCAAAAAACAAGACATTTTCTGGCCTGAAGAAGAATATGTTCTCTTACACGAGTATACCTTATTTCATGAGCTTTTGTAAGGATAGGAAGAAATAACTTCCAGCATCCACAGGACATGATTTATCTGGAAACCAACCCTATTTATGTGGAGACAGGGCTTTCAGTGAATATCCACTTCATGCTTACAGGGATCTTAAGAGGCTAAATTTGGCCCTGTCTCTAAATCCCAGGAAGGGGCAGATGGCTGATCCATGTTTATGCCACCACCTTTTCTACTCTCCCTTAGTGACTGTTAATGAAGTGGGAGTTGAAAACTCACTATATTAAATAGATCATTACAATTTATTTATTTATTAAGGACTACTGGAGTTATAGAAGGTACTGGTTTGTCTTAGAAAGGTATGCCTTTGTACTTCTCAGGAATAAGTGGCTTTCACAAGGTTAGTAATCCCTACACAGGAGGACATTTCTCCCTTCACTATTTATCACATAGTGTGAATGGCAATTAAATATATGGTCCTCTTTAAGATAAGAAATTACTATTACTCCAATCGGAATTTCAAATAAGACTTTAGTTTGCTATTTATATTTGTATATTTATGTATACTAGCCTTCATACAAGCTTAATATTTTGCACACATACACACTTTAAGCACACAGCTGTCACTCATGCACCTGAATTTACACATTCTTCCACACATATGGACATAGTCTATGATATTTTGGCCCTATGTTCACTTTAATAGGCTGAGCTAAATTCATTTGTTGAAGCCCTAATCCAAAATGTGATGATGATAAATAAAGATGGAACCTTTAAGGAGTTAATTAGTGTTAAGTGAGGTAATAAGAGGGGCCTAATTCAATATGACTGGTGTTCTTAGAAAGAGAAAAACATTCAAAGATACTGTGCATAGAGAAAGACCATGTGAAGACACAGTCAGAAGGAGGCTGTCTGCGAATCAAAGAGAGAAGCCTCAGGAAAGAAACCCACCCTGCTGACATCTTGGTCTTGGACTTCCAGCCTTCAGAACTGTGGGAAAATAAATTTCTGTTGTTTGAGCCACCCAGTTGGTGGTATGTTGTTATGGCTGACTTAGTAGACTAATATAGTCATCTTTGGCTTTTGACTTAGGGATATGGTAAACACCACCAGACATAGAAAATGTAAAATGTATCATGAACTAGTTTTAGGAAACATAACTCAAAACAGGAAGCTTCCTGCCCAGTATTCTCCAAAAAGCTATGATGCATGAAATGTGTTTATTATTTACAAAGATTCTTTGGTGGATAGTGGTATAGTCAATGACCCTGGAAAGGGAAAAGCAATCATCCACTGTTAATGGTGACTTTCACTGAAGGAGGCAATGGAAACTCTTCCTATCAATTGGCAGAGTGATTTGCTAAATAGAGACTATGTTTGTGGGTAAAAACCAGCATGGAATATGGTTGAAAAATGCAATATTAGAAAATAAATCCCTAAGTGTTTAGATATAATATGTACTTTATATATTTTATTATACCTTCACTTACCAAATTTGTTATTTAAACGTGGTAATAATATAAGTAATGCTTATTTGTAATCATTTTTATATCTATAGGGAAGAGAAAAGAGTCGCTGAATTTATTCTCCCATTAAGTATATTTAATTTAAAAAATATTTGAGTGCCTACTTTATTTATCTATGGGGTACTTGGATTTTATCTTTGGAGGCTTAAAATTTAGTGGAGGTAACAACTTATGGGAAGGGGAAATTTTAATAACATTAGAACATTTAATAAAATCATAACAAAAATAATCACAAGACAGTGTATACCTATGACATGAGTATAAAATTATTGTATATTATAAATTATGTCAAAATTATGAAAACTTATAGAGCTTATTGTTGGCTACACTGATAGGATCAGGCTAGTGTTCTATGCAGGACCTAAATAGGACATTTCCAACTTGTTAACCGAGTAAGAAAGATATTAAATGTAACTACAAATGAAAAAATAAAGATTAGAAGACACATTTCAGCAGTGTATGGTTAAAACTGGGGGAATGAGTTCTTATCAAAATGATAATAGAACAGAGCATTTGATAAATAAGGAGAAAAATCATAAATACATGTCAAGCTTAAAAAAAAGCTTCCATCTAAATGTCAGACTCTTTAAGGACTCTGAATTTCATAAGGCTAAAATGGAGTAATAATAGAAAAAAAAACAGAAAATATTTTCCCACTAGCAATCACTTTCCAGAGAAAATCACAAAAATTTAGTAATATAGATCCTTTATCCAGAGAAGGAGTAGGGTTGAAAACAATAGAAATGGAAACCACTTCTGCAGCTGAAGAGCAGTCCAGAAGTCTCTAATATTTTTCTGTTTAGAGACTAAGTCTATAACTGCTGGAAATTTAGGAAATAAAATATGCAGAGAAATTTCAGTAGTACAACCCATTTAAAATAATAGAAAAATATTTGTAGTATACTTTTTACTGTATGGCTGCACTGGAGGAGAAGAAAAGTAAAGATATTCCTTGGAGATGAAAACTTCAAATTAATGATGTATATAATTATAGGTACATACACATGTATAAATATACATGTATTTTCTAAGGAGAAACACAAGATCTCTGGAATAGACCTTTATGTAGTTTCAGGGCATCTGAGAAGTGCAAGTTCCTCACACGCAAATTCCCCACGAGGTGACACAGTGAAGGCCAAATACACTTTCATGTCCAGCTGGATTTGTCCCACAGGAGAGGAACTCAAAAATTCTGAGACTGAGATTAAGACCCTATATTCGGTGACTGAAATATCTGTTCCAGTTTCCATCTAGAGAGAGAGAGAGAGAGAGAGAGAAAGAGAGAGAGAGAGAAACCTTTATCTTCTAAGGTAAATAAATACCCTTTACTATAGATCAGTAACTGCTCCTTTCATCATCATCTTCTCTTTTGCAAATAAGAGCATTTATTGTGGTTAATAGCTTTCTATTCATCATCATATTTTTGATATGTGGAAGACAAATAACTTGATTTTATTTCACAGTTCTCTGTAACAAAAGGAGTCTCAACTGGACTCAGTGTCAGTCACAATATACTGAACCCTGAGTGTTTTGTGGCCATAAATGGAGAAGAATTTTAGGAGCTTTTTAATGTTACTAAGTATATCTTGCATGCACGAAGGACATGGATATTAATATATCCATGAACTGTCATGGATAGTTCAGAATGAAGTCTGATAAATTGGATTGTTGTTTAGCAATTACTCTGTTTTTATGTCTCACATCTATAAAAACAGCATACTTCCTTTCCCTTTGATACTAGGCTTGGCATATGACATGTTTTGGACATAGAATATTAGAAACTGAATTGTGAAGTGGGATGTGAAAGTGTTTGCATAGTTGGATTTGGCTCCTTGGACTTCTGCTATTCCCATGAAGTAGCATGTTCTAGTATCCCACTGGCTTGGAAGAATTAGACACACTGAGCAGTCTGGAACTCATTCCACGCTTGGTAGTCAAGCCAAGCAGCATGCAGCCTAGAAATTCCAGATATTAGATGACTCACAGAGGCATAAGCAAAAAATACATGATTATCAGTTTATGTTATTGGGTTTTGTTATTCAGCCTTATTTGGGTAAACCTGATTGATGGAACTACTGTCTATCATTATATAATATGCAGCAAGTTGACTATGGCAGCATTCTCCAGAATATTACACTGTTCCACGATATTAATGACCTCATGTTAATGAGTCCTGATGAACTGTCATATATGCTTATCAGAGGATAGAAGATAATGTACATATATTCAGAAACAAGTCTCACTGATGAAGTCATTAAAGGGCCGATGACCTGGAATAGGCCAGGATATTCTTTCTAAAGTAAAGGAGAAGCTATTATACTTTGGGATATCTATGACTAAAAAAATAGCAGATTTTTTTTGTGCCTTTTGAATCTGGGAAAGAGAATATACAGCAATTGATAATATTGCTATAACCAATTTATCAGTTTATTTTAATGGATTCTAGCTTTAACGGTGGTCCATAACAGGCAAGATGTCTATAACTAGACATGATAGATCAAAGAGAGCTAGAGGACCATTTGAAAAAATATGTTTTTTAAAAAATATTAACCACTTTGTTTGATATGTTTTTAATCACCATGTAGATTTAAATATAATCCAATTAGTCACCTGTATTTAAAATAATCAAGCAATTTTACATAAAAATGTAGTTTATAGTTTGTCTTCCCAAATTTGGCATTCTGAGAATTGTTGCCATCTGGTCCCGTGTTTCACATGTCTACAGTAGGGTGGATCTGTAGAGTGGCCAGCCTTCTATGACAAGGCATTTACTATTTAGTTTCCTACAGTACATGTACAATATGCTTAATCACCTAATACTGTCTTCATTAATTAAATTCTGAGACAAGTATTGATGCAAGCAGTATGCTGGAAAATGGTGGAAGTGAAACACAAAAGAAAAGAGAGATAATAAACTCCAATTTGAAAACAGTTTACCATAGTGGATGATTAGAGAGCAATACTGTTGGAGAGCTCTGGGAAGTCATGCATAAACACACTTCAGAAATACCCCATCTGTGGGGTGAAAGAGTTGGAGTAATTATACACCAAATGTGGTGATTCATTGGTTGGGAAATTGTCTTAGCCCATTTTCTGTGGCTGTGACAAAACGCCTAAGGCTAGTTAATTTCTAATGAAGAGAAATTTGTTTAGCTCATGGTACTAGAGGCTAGGAAGTCCAAGAGCATGCCACTAGCATTTGGTAAGGGTCATTATATGGTGGAAAGAGCATGAGAAACAGAGAGAGGAAATCTAGCCCAATTCATTCTTTTTATCAGGAACCCAATCCTTTGCTAACAAACCCACTTCTATAATAACAGCATTAATCCATTCATGAAGAAAGAGCTCTCATAACACATTCACCTCTTAATACCATTACAATGGAGATCAAGTTTTCAACACATGAAATTTGAGGACACATATTCCAACCATTGCAGAAATGTTCCTGGGGATGGTTCATTGTCTGGCATGCTGGACTTGTCACATGTGTACACTTAATGGGGCAGTATGGCTTTCCCTTAGTAAAGGAGGAACAAAAACCTCTCATGCACAGAGATGTAGGTGTTGGCAGTTCAAAGTCAACTGGGTCATCAGGAAAGATCTAAAAAATTAGGTGTCAGACTGACAGCCTCTTTTTTTTCCCCTGCTAAGTACCAATTGAAGCCTATTCTAGATCCCCCTTGGAAATTTCTTTACTTAGATGTATAAGCTTTACTCAAAGAAATATTCTGAAAAGAAACATGAAACAGTATTTTTTCCCTCTGATGCTGTGGAAAGCATAATGATTTTTGCTTTGTTTTGTCTTGATTTTAGAGTTAGAAAATGGTCTACAGAGATATAGTCCTCTCAGTTGAATATAGGAAAGGAAAAAGCATGAACAATATCTTGCAGTGATGTATCAAAGATCTTTTTATATAAATCATATGATTAATTCTTTGGTTTATATTAATTAGACATATTTTTGATCTAAATATAACTCAGGCTATCTCACATGGAAATTTTATGAAAATGAAGAACAATGGAAAAGCTAGTCTGACATACATAATATAATCTTGAAAAACTTGTAAGTAAAAAGTCAAAGTCACCCTTTGAGACGTGTATACTTTGATGTATCATAAAGTCTTTCTCTAGATCAAACATACAGGCAGCAGCAAATAGACGATGTAAGTCTATTTTGCACAACACCTGTATTGCACCCTAAAGCATAATTTCACATGATGCCTTCCTGAGTTATATCTCTGGGCACTTGGAACAAGACATTACCCTTCTCACATCCCATATCTTTCACAGGGTATGTTATAGAAAGATATGTGAGTCAAATGATCGTTAGAATTCATAGTCCATTTACTTTCACTGGCCAGTGTTGATTTTATTCTGATTACAATAAAAGAGTAGCAGGAATAATACTCTAATATTCAACTACATTAAAATATTTTATCGCAGTCTGTTAATTCACAATAGCAAATTACTGTCTTTTTTCAAATATAAAATTATATGAAATTATCTATAATGGAGAAGAAACAAACAAAACCATGGAACAAGAAAAACTCTATAATAGGCACTTTATAGACAGTCTAAAAATAATAAATAAGAATGTGAATTTCTATTTAACCACTTGGAATAGAAATATTATTAAATATTTTCCACTCGTTGTTACCAGTACAGGATCCCTAGCCAGTAGCAGTGACATTTGTAACATCACCAGGGTTATATGGTGCCAAAAAGAGATAACTCTTACTTAGAAAATTGTGTGGCTTTATTGGTTCTGGCACACATACGAATTTCAAGGGAGTAAGATGTATGCCTCAAATTTAATTCTAAGGACTAATTTTCTATGAAATGTACTACCTATGACTTTCACTATAGATGACAACAATATTCTCTATTCTCTTCCAGTTTTGTTAATGTTGAATATCATAACAACACACACATCCTATTGCACAAAAGTCATGAATGGTGTCTAGAGAAGAATTAAGAGTAAATGATGATATTTATCATCAATGATCTCATCTGAAGATATTTTCCTCTTTTGGACGTTTGGTTGGCATAATAAGTAATAATTGTCAAATAGAAGTTAAAAACCCTCCAGATGGATTAGGAAAATTGTGGCATATTAGTACTAGGAATCCAGATAGCATTTAATTTTTAGCATTTTTACATTCAGCAATACTTATTAATGCCAAGATGACTGAAATGATTAAATAGATGCAGGATATAGCAATGAATTTTAAAGATGTCTGATTATTATAGTAGATTAACAATCATATGATTAAAAGTTTAAACCATTTTGAAAAGATTTGACTTATTTATTAAGCTGTTGTTCAAAATGAGATATTCAGAACCTTCCAGTTTAACATTTTAAAAATACCTACAAAATGACCATTAGTTACCTTTATTTAAAATATCTGACAGCATTTAAGAATCATAAGTTTTCATGAAAACTACCCAGTTGGAAAGAATTTTTGACACCCTTCTCTCCCTCTTCCTCTTATGACCCATAGTTATCACTAATCACAGCTCTTTCTCTTTGTTCTAATGGGCAATAAAATAAATTTAGAAACAGCCAGATCATGGTCAAATTAGAAGTACTGTGTGGGAAAAAGATTAAATAGCCTAATTCTGCAGACTTTAGGAACATACCTTAAAAAGTTTCAAGGTTATAAGCTAATCTGCATAGAGGGAGGGGTTGGGACACATGAAACATTATTCCTGGACTAGTCTGTGATTGAATTGAGGATATCATAAAGACATAATATCAATATTAACTTTCGAAAGGAGAGCTACCTTGACATTTATTTACAACCTTTGGTTGAATAAGGAAGATAAATCGCAGACATGCTTATTTCTTTCATACTATGCCTGTGATGATCTTTGGACATCATAAGACATCTTTGATCTCACATTGATACAGAAGATGATATGAATTGGAAAATGTAACCTGAAGTATATATTCATATGTATTATATATTCAAATGTATAATTATATATTTGTATAAATGTATAATTATATATTATACAAAAATGTATAATTATATATTATATATTCAAATGTATAATACATATATTCATATGTATTATACATTTATCATGTTCTTGGCTGGACAGAGTTTAACATCCTGTTTAGAATACCAAGATATATAGAAAGGAGAACCCAAACTTTATAGAAATAAAATGCAGCAGATATTCTGCCATGATCATATGAACTAATGGTACATTCAAATTGAAATCATTCTGCTTAACTATTTGAATCAGCAGGAAGTATTAAATAGGTGTAAAACTAAGTTCTAGGATGTATAAAAAGGCTGTAGCAATTGTGAGACCCTGTGGCACAGTGACAAACACCTGCTGGTGACTGCACCAGAAACAGTGTCCTAAGCTTGCCATTCTCAATGAGGGAATTGAACAAATGTTGTGTCATTTTCTCTTACTCTAATAATTTCCCCTGCTTTCCTTTTTGATTCAATACATAAATTTGGTTTGATTTTAACTGATAATAGTTATTGTTCAGAACAAAGAAACCTAGAAATTTTTGTACCAGAAGAGTTAAACACCAACAACATTTCAGAGAAATAAATGAAATCTGGAATTGGCTACATTGCTTACTTGGAACTAAAAGAAGTAAAATAAATAATTTCCACTGAAGAAAGAAAAGTAAACCATGGAAATAAAAAAGAAATTATAAAGTAAATTACTGTCTCTGAAATTATAAAATAGAAAGCCTCTAAAAGTTAATATCTTAGGGGACAATAGTTTATGTTCTGCGCTAGTATGAACAACATGTGTAATTCCAAAACTGTGGGAAGGCATATATTGCTTCTAATGTCACTAGAAAGACCAAATAAAGATAATGAAAAGATCAAATGCCTATGCTTTTGACTAGACTGGAAACATTCTAGGATATAATCAAACATTTCTATCTTTATGGCCTAATTACTTGAATTCAAATTTCAGATAGGTAGTTTGAGTCTGCAGTTTGCCAAATTACAAGCCTTCATCAGGAAATTTCTTATTTAAAAGTTTGGTCCCTGTCCTGGAATGAGTAGCAACTGGAAAATTTAAATGGGATATATGAAGGCAGTCATATATGAGTACATCAAATCCATAGCTTTCATAAAGTTTTCTTTGCCCGAAGAGCACCCCCTCTAAAATTGCTTGTTGAAATGGTTTCTTTATTTGCCTGAAGACCCTATTACAGCCTCATTTGAGCATTACTTTGAAAGGCAAAATAAATTCCTTTCTTGCCTTTCCGCATTATGTCACATTGTCTCCAGCTCCACAGAGTCAGCATCACCTGGGTTCCAATAAACGACTTCCAAGTAGAATCTGAAAAGGAAAAATAAAATACTGAAAAATTGCAAAGACTCACATTTTCACATTTTATAAACACAATCAACTACAGAATTTATTATATGAATGAATTTTGAACTCACTAGACAAAGGATAGAAAAGGATGCATCTAAATTAATTAAATTTAATCTATAATAAAGTGAAATATGGGTGAGCTTGTCAGAAATTCTGGATTCCATGTGCTAATATTAATTCTGAGGACCTGAGATGCCTCAAATGCTAATATGGTCCATTGGCGCTTATGGTAGCATTAGGTGATAAATGACTTATGTCTGTTTTATGATAGGTTCAGTAAAAAACAGAATTTACCTTGTAGTTATTTACTGGTTATATAGCTGGAAAAATTATTCTTATCAACTGGAAAAACCTCTACTCAAGTTTGTGCTGTTAAAATATTGACTAGAGTTGGTGAATGCAGCAGACGAAGTGACAGGGAAGGCTGGACTGATGTCAGTATTTTCAACAAAACTCCCCTATGGAAAGTGTAGGCTTCCAAGGGGATATTTGACCCTGACTACCCTAGGCCACTCTAGAGCAGCAACACCTTCACCTCTCTTCCGCATTCCCATACAAAAATACCCCACCCTTTCTTGGTCTGCTTAACGGCTACCAAATGCCACCTGCTTTCACTCTGGCTCTGCTTCTAGGCAACATTCAGAAATAACATGGTTTCAAAAAGTAAAGATTTTTCTTCATAAACTTTTATACTAATATTTTAACAGCTAATGTTTTCATACAATTGTATACTGGCTAAAAACAGACCCGGAAAAGGATTACATGAATGAATTTGTTAACATGGGGCCAAGAAAGAGGGAATATTTTTGGCCTTCTGAGTTTCTATCAAAAGGCGTCCCCTCTGAAGAGGTGGGTCTTTCCAAATAATTAGGTGTGCAGATTTGGACTTATTTTTTAGATACAATTCACCTTTCTTATCCAGCTACCCCACAGGATTTATGAGAAATGTGGTCATGGTCACAGGAATGAAAATTATAACCTGCCTCAATAATAGGAGCATCCCATTTGCAAGACTGGCCTGGCTACAACACTGGTATGTGCTCAGCAGGCGTTAGGAGCAACCAAAGAGCAAAACAACCTGAAATGACATAGAATGAAGGGAAAAATAAAGTTTAGAATGGAAATTAGTGAAATAGAATACAGAAAAACTACAGAGAAAATCGATGCAATGAAAAGTTGGTTCTTTAAAAATAGTCACGAGATATACAGATTTAAGATCAGCTACATTAACAAATAAAAATAGAAAACACATAATCATGAAACATATGCATGAAGGAAGAAACATTATCACTGATACTCAGAAATCAAAAGAATTATAAAGGAATACTATGAATAACTTTATGACAACAAATAACTTATACAAACTAGACAATTTCTTAGAAGGCCACAATTTAATAAAACTGACTCAATAATAAAATGAAAATCTGAATAGATTAAAGAGTACAGAAATTTGATTTGTAATTTAAGATCTTTCAAGGAAAAAGCCAAGACCTAAATTTCTTAACTCTTGAATTTTATCAAACTTTAAAGAAGAAAAAATACAAATACTTCACACTCTTCCAGAAAGTAAAGGAGAATGAAACATCTCTAAATTTACTCTATAAGGCCAGTATCACCCTTATACCAAAGCTAGATAAATATATTCTAAGAAAGAAAAATTACAGAACAAAAGACCCTATGAATATAAAGGCAAAAATCCTTGACAAATATTAGCAAATAAAATTCAAGCATATATACATGGGATATACATGGGATTATACACCATCATTGCTAAATGAAATTTATCTGTTGAATACAAAGCTGGTTTGTCATCTGAAAGTCAGTTAATATAATATTTGATATTAATAGAAAAAAGGAATAAAAAGTCATTTTAATAGACATAATAAAAGCACTTCACAATTCTATAATCATTCATGATAAAAACTCTTAACAAACTTGAAAAAGAACTTTCTTAACCTGATGAAAGGCAACTCTGAAAACCTATAGCTAATATACTTAATGGTGAAAGACTTAGGCAAATATTGCTTAAATACAACATCAAAAGCATAGTACATAAAAGAAAATAATAATAAATTGGACATCATCAAAATTTAAAACTTTTGCATGTCAAAAGACAATTGAGGAAAAATAGCAACAGAGAAAGTGTTTGCAAAGCACCCATCAAAGGACTTTTGTCCAGATGTTATAAATAACTCTAAGAACTCATGAGTAAGAAACAAATAACCTAATTAAAATTGTACATCACCAAAGATGTACAAATGGCTAATAAACACACGAGATGTTTGAAATTGTTAGTCATTAAGGAAATACAAACTAACACACAACAAGATTTGCGCACCCACTAGAATAGCTTTAATAATCAGACAAACAGTAACAAATGTCGGCAAGGATGTGGAGAAAAGAACCTCTCCTCTATTGCCAGTGCAGCCATTTTGAAGGAACTTTGGCAGTTTCAATGAATGCAAAGGAATATTATTCAGCAATAAAAATTAGCAAACTACTGACACAAGCTTATGCTATAAATGAACCTCCAAAGCCTTGTTATTAGTTTTCTATTGCTGCATTAACATATTACTACAAACTTAGTGATTTAAAACAACACATATTTATTATCTTAAATTGTGTAGATATAATTCTAATGAAAGGTAGCTATACAAAAAAAAAGTATAGCTTTAGAGTTTTCACTCAGATCTCATTGAGTTAAATCAAGGTGTAGGTAGGACTGATCACTCCTGGAGTCTCTAATGGAAAATCTGCTTCCTTGCCTTTTCCACCTTCTAAAAGCAGCCAACAGTCCTTCGTCCATGGTCCCTTCTGCCCCTTCAAAGCCAGCCACACTGCATCTCTCTGACCATCCTTCAGAAGTCATATTCTCCCTCTTTTACAAAAGCATGTAAAGATTCTCCATTTTTAAGAGCCTAGATGTTTAGAATTTGTTCACCTGAACAATGCAGGATATTTCCCTTATTTAAAACGTCCATACTCTTAACCTTAACTGCAAATTTCCTTTTGCTATGTAAAGTAACATGTTCACAGATTCCTGGGATGAAGGTGTGAGCATCTGTGAAACCATTATTCTGCCTACCAAAAACATTATGCTAAGTAAGAAAAACCGGACACAAGAGACCACACTATTTTGTTTATAAAGAATGTCTGAAAAAGACAAATATGTAGAGACTAAAAGTACGTTAGTGGTTGCCTGAGGCTGGGGATAAGAATGGAGTTTTACTGTAGGTAATTATGAGGGATCTTCTTGGTGGAACGAAAATGCTCTAAAATTGATTTATGATTATGATTGCATAGTTAGTAAAGTCACTAAAAATAACTCAATTGTACATCTGAAATGGTAAAATATATTTCAATAATATAAAAAGTGGAGAATTTCAGAAGGCTATGTAGCCACTTAAGTGTATTGACTGCTCCTTCCATTAAAGAGATGTAAGCTGTGTCTTCATCTTTAGTGTTAAAATGTGCCAATCTAGTTTTATAGTCAAGAGGTTTCTACTTTGTTTATCTGTTTGCTTGTTTGTTTTTCTAGTAGATTAAGTGCCATAAATCCAGGATACTGATAAATGAGTTGACTATTTTATGGAAAAGTGGGACATACCCAACAAATTGAAAGCCAGAATGTTGTCATGATCTTAAATTCAGATAGAGATTTCAACAACAGCATGTCTGGTGTTTGTTTTTTCATAGAATTTTTAAGTGGTTGATTTCATTAAACTTTGTGCTGAAAGACTGATATAGTATTTAACTTCTTGAAATATTTTAAATGTATTTATATACTACATTTATAATATATTATATATATATATTATATATTATATATATATAAGGCCTCTACCACTTACTTATGGTGTGACCTTGGCGAGTTAATGGATCTCAGTTTCTCACCTGTAACATTAGTATGACTTCTCTTTCATAAAGCTACTATAAAATTCATAGCAGTTATAAAGCATCTTGCACATCATAAATGCATCATGAATAGTAGTTTCTTTAGCTGGCTGTCTTAGGTCACATAGCTGGTTGGTAGTAAACAAGGAAATTGGAGATTCTGGTGTCCAGTCTGGAGTTTTTTCCTTTTATTTAAGCATCCAATGTTTTGAGTTCCTACAAACATTTAAGAAAATACTTATATCCCAGACTCATCCTTCCCCTTTATAGGCCTTTCAAAATAAATTTTATTTATTACAGAAAAAATCACACTATGACAGTTTACTAGTCTTAGCAGTTATTTACTTATTGGATCTATAGAAAAATAAATATGTAGTGGATATTATAACTACATATAATTATTCTTACTCTCTTATAAATGTTCTATCATCGTATATCCATTATAAACCCATTACTGTAGGATCTTACACTTTTACCTTCAATATGCAGTAAGACTAAGCTTTCTATAATTTCTGATTGAGAGATTAAATATTCATGTGCCTATTCTTGCTCTAAGACTGTTGCAAAAGTATGATAACTCTGCTTAGTCTGGTCTGTTTCTATTTCCTATTTAAATAGCACATTTGTATCTTGCTCAGGAAGCAAACTTATTTGTAAATCATTTTTATAAAACCTAGCCAGAGCAATCTAAAAGCACACATAGAAGTTCTATGTCTACCCAGACACATGACAATAATTGGAATTGACATCGTTTTTATTCTTTCTATTTTTCTCTTTTTGGATTCTCATTTAAAAGGAAAAGCACAGAGTTCTTGGTATATTTTCTTTCATATTGATGGAATAGGAGATTGACTGAATTTTTAGCTCTTGTTTCTTTCCTAGCGATTTTCTCATTATCCTAGTTTCTTCTTAAAAATAAAATTTGTGCTATGTGGCTTCTAGGGAGTTCACACTGTCTTTCTGTGTAGAAACAGAATGTAATTTTGATATATTCAGGTTATTGTTTGCTTATATATCATGGAAACAGTTCACTGTAGGGCTTTTTAAAGTTGGTATTTGCATTTAAGACTTCTACATACTTGTTATTTTTAACCTTCACTGACCTCTAAAAAAAACTGCAACTACACAGTAGCAGGATTTGCAAGAAAATATAGATCTTATTTTAGTTATTTATTTTTTTTTGGTTTGTTATCTCTGGAATAACCATGGCCAGTAGTCAAACAGCAGTAAGATAACAGCATCATTCTGTGCTTTCATTAAATAGCAAAATAAGAAATTTTTAATCTAGTTTTAAAGAACACCAGATTTACACAATGTCAGTCACAACTGACCAGACTAATGAAGTTAAGGAGTGAGAATCTTAGCCCAGATGAAGCCAATGTTTTTGTTATTGTTTCTGTGGAAGATTTTTGTTTGGCCATGTGTTTTGTCTAGAGATAAAGTCAAATCAAGTAGGAGAAGAAACATCCTGGAAAATCCCATTCTTTGAATTATTCAGGAAATAGTGTTGACATTTTAGGGATCCAGGAGGAATTATTTCTCTCAGAACAACTTTGGACAGCTGTACAGTTTGTGTACTTCAAAACATCTGGGGGCAGCATGCACACAGACCTTAAGTCAACACAATTTTTCTAAGGACCAGTATATATATATATACACACACACATATATATATATACACACACACATATATATATATACACACATATATATACACATATATATACACATATATATGTATATATGTGTATATATATGTGTATATATGTATATGTATATATGTATATGTATATGTGTATATATATGTATATGTATATATATGATTTTGCAGACTACATATTGTCTCTATCACATATTCTCTGTTTTTTATTACAGCATTTAAAAATGAAGTAAAAGAATTCTTCGCTCTTAGGACACAGACAAATAGTCCACAGGCCAGATTTGGCATGTCAGCTCCTGTTCAGTGACTATTGTCATAGGCTACACATTGCAGAACTGTGCATGGTAGCCCTTATATTTTTAGGTCTGAATGGTTGTGCAGTGGAGAGTAGACAAGGAAAATTATTTATTTAACAATTGTGTATTGATTAGCATGTATCAATGCCTATGTATCTATGCTAGATATATTGTTCTAGGATCAAACAATAAACAAAATAGTCATAGCTCTTTTCTTTATGAAACTTATGGTCCTGGACTATAAAAAGCGTATAAAAGGTGCTATGGCTTTAAGGTGCAAGTTGTTGCAAAATATTCCTCTTTAAGAAAATGAGACTGGTCATGGTGGCTCATACCTGTAATCCGAGTACTTTGGGAGGCCCAAGGCAGCAGATCACTTTGAGCTCATGAGTTCGAGACCAGCCTGGGCAACATTCCCTACAAAGAATACAAAAGCTTAGTTGGGTGTGGTGATATGCACCTGTAGTCCCAGATACTCAGGAGGCTGAGGTAGGAGGATGGCTTCAACCCAGGTGTTGGAGGCTGCAGTGAGCCATGATCATGCCACTGCACTCTAGCCTGGGCAACAGAGCAAGACCTTGTCTCCAAAAAGAAAAAAAAAGTAAAGAAAAGAAAGAAAGAAAATAATGTTTACACTGAAATTTGATGAATAAGTCAGAGTTTGATGGATGAAAGGGGAATTGGAAAAAGAGGCAATACATGTCTGATATCAAAATGAAAATATCCAGAAGATAGTAGCTGTGAGTATAGAGATCAAGGGAGTATTCTGAATTTGAAATATGGAAATATAGATTTAGTTTAGTTGTTATTAAAATATATTTTTGTTTTTTGAAGTCATGGGATTTGGTAAGAGCACTGAGAGAGAGAGGGAAGAGAGAAGTAGAGAGAACATGTAGAAAGAAAAGAGGCCTTAGGGAATAGCATTGGGATTATTTATTTAATGAGTTGAGGATGGTTAACTGCCCAGCAACTGAGAAAGGGTATCTAAAGAAGGCAGAGGAAGAACAGTTAACTTGGGATGACAGAAGGTAAATAAAATAATTGTTTAACAAAGAAAGAGTGATGAGAACAGTTTAGTGTGGCACAATGAGAGATGCAACTGTGGTAGACACAAAACCAGGATAATATGGAGCTATTTAAACATGGTATGGCTGAGGGATTATCTTCAAGGCATTGACAGGAATAAGAGTAGGACACTGAAGCAACACACTTTCAAAAATATTCCCTAGGGCTGTTCATAATGGCTGCAATGATGTCTACACTGAGGAGAGGAAGTGAGAAATTGTAGCTGTTTCAAGGATGAGAACTGTGCTCTGATTTGGCATTGAATTTTGTTCATTTGTTTCTTTGTATCTTCCCATAGTTACCCTTCCTCTAACACTTGATTTTACAAATGCATAATCATAGGTTAGGTTAAACCATTGGCATTAATCCTTTCTCACATTGCTATACAGAAATACCTGACTAGGTTTAATTTATAAGAAAAAGAGGTTTAATCGGCTGATGGTTCTGCAGGCTTTACAGGAAGCTTAGCTGCCTCTTCTTCTGAGGAGGCCTCAGGAAGCTTCCAATCATAGTAGAAGACAAAGTGAGATCAAGCATCTTACATGGCAGGAGAAGGAGCAGGAGCAAGAGAGAGGGTGGGAGGTGCCACACACTTTTACAGGACCAGATCTCACAAGAACTCACTATTCTGAGGACAGTACCAAGGGAATGGTACTAAGCTATTCATGAAAAACCATCCCCATGATCCAATCACCTCCCACCAGGCCCACCTCCAACATTAGGGCCTATAATTCAACATGAGATTTGGGCAGGGAACACAGATTCAAACTATGTCACCATGTATAAAGCGGTTTTCTGAGGAAGAATTATTTATATTAAGTCCCAAGAAATGCTTCTCCACAGTCCATCGAAATCAAGCTGCTCAATTTCATTTTTAATGTTTCTTTCAGTGTTCAATTTCCAACCTAACTTGGCCTTCTTGTATTCCATCTAACTTAACCTCAATATAAATACATGAATTCATTTTGGCTGCATGATAGACCTTTCTAATCTGTGGTTCTCAGTATTCCCCATTCCTCATTTTGAAGTGATTCAAGATCATTCTCACAGATAGGTCATCATTACAAAATCTCAGCCCAACTGTGCAAATGTGATGCCTGTTTTATATTCCCACATTTAATCAAATCAAGATTCAATCAGTTATAAGTTTTACAACTATCTTGGGTTAGATGAATTTTTTAAATGCTCTATTTGGGTAGTCTAGTGGGAGATCCACATATGAATCTGAGACATCCTGAGAGTAAATATAACAAAGCATAAAGGAAGGCTCAGAAATCATTCTTAAATGTCTTGAAGTGGGA